>NC_000005.10:110412837-110715867 GCF_000001405.40 Homo sapiens | reverse complement strand
GTAGCAGGCTTCAGAGAGAATAGATTGTAAATATTTCTTATCAGACTTAAGGTCTGTGTTGATGTTAAATGCTGGCCAGCTTTCCCTGCATTCCAAAAGGGAGGAGGTATAATGAGGCATGTCTGACCACCCCCTGCTTTCCATCATGGCCTGAACCAGTCTTTTAGGTTAACTCTGGAGTGCCCTGGCTGAGAGGAAGGAGTCCATTCAGATGGTTAGGGTCGAAGCGGGCTTAGAATTTTATTTTTGGTTTGCAGCTTTCATCAGGTATCACCTTAGAAAATGTATTAATGTAATTGTCAGCAGAATGTATTTTCATAAAGATATTCGGATATTTTATATCAAGAAGCTTCCTAACTTTCTACAGCCAGTCTTTTGAATATTTACAGTGACATTCAGTGTTCAGTTCTTCATGACCAATTCTGTCTTGTTTAGTGAGCCACAAATCAATCATTTCCTCTATTCAGTTTAGTATTATTTCTTATGTTCACTGGTCATTTACATTTAGTCTCTATACTTTTGCTTGCTTTTCTTAGTCCTTTTAATTACAAAATTTATATTTCTTCAGCCTATGGTTTTTTTTCATAATTTCTTTAATTACTGTTTCATCTCTATTGATTCCTTCGCTCCTTCATGAATGACCTAAATGACATTGATTTAGGCTGGTTAGATTACAAAACAATTAAAAGCCTTCATGTTCTTTTATGGTTTTGAAGAGAAAGAATTGTATTTTTAGCTACTTTCAAATTTTAGGTATATTGTTTATTGGATAAAGTTATTTATATTCTTTGAATGAAGGGGCAAAAATAGACAAGGAACCCTGTTAAGAGACAGATATGTGTAAAATATGTCTTATTCATATTTAAATTTATATTTGTCTATTCTCTAGCTCTTGTCATACTTTTACAGAATGTGATATTAATCAAACTTTTTTCTTGAGTAATTCTCCTAAAATCACCCCAGCATTATCATGGAATTTAGGATCTTCAGATGTGATAATGTTAGTTTATAGGTCAGTCCTTTTTCTCTAGATTTAATTTCCTAAGGAAAGGCACCATATTTTAATTGTATTTGTATCTCTCAAATACAGAAATCTCAAACATTATTATCACTTTTATGTTTTGTGAAAACTGAATCAAATTGAGTTTTCTAAATGACAGTCACTTAAAATGAATAATTTGAATTCTATTTGGTAGTGCTAAATATAAACTGGTCAAAAATAATTCTTTATTTCTAGTTTGTGTGTGTGTGTGTATTTCACATTGTGTATTGGACATTGTGTCAACTAAAAGGTTAAATAACAGACATTACACCTTAAAGAAATTTTAAGTTAATTTTATTCTAAGCCAATTTCAAGGATTAATAGCCTGGGAAACACAAACTTACCCCAAACTGAGAATATGTCCTCGAGTGGGCTATACAAGGCACAGTTCTATTACACAGAAAATAGGAGAAGGGGAGCAGTGAAACAAAGGTGACATTCTTTCTATTTTGATTGGTGTTCAGAGACTTTATACAAAAGATAAAGCAAATATGTAGTTACCACTGTATATAGGGTTAATGAGCATATAGGTGTCCTAGTCTCTGGAGGGAGATGATTGATTATATCCTGTTTTATCTGATGGACAAGGTTGTAATCAGTACGTGTCAATGAAATGTTTGACAGCCTCCAGCCCTGCAGCAGGGAGTTCCAACTTGCCAAATTATACTCTCAGTTAACAGACAAGATAAACTTCCTGTGGCTCAAAAGTAAAAGGAGACCCAAGAGTCCATGGCAGGGTGAGGGGTGTAGTCACACTCTCTGTCCTTAGAAAGTATTGCAAAATTTGTTTTTCTGCAACCAAGTCAAGGAATAGTTCCTGAAAAACAATTGCAGCTGGGAATTCTTCAACTGACCATTAAAGACCACCTGATGCCAACCCACCAACCACCTGGAACCAGCCAACTAAGAGAGGCTGGTGATTTGGGGTTTAAGTTTTCCCATCAAGACTGTTCCTCACTGCCCTGACTACAGTTCTTTGCACTGCAGTTTGCCTTTATAATTTCTAACTCTCTGCCACCCAGCTTGGGAGTGCACTTCTGTTTTACAGAAGGCTGCATCTCCCTAATCTGAAGATTGATTTTTTTTAAGAAGATAAAGCTGTCTTTTTTCTCCATAGATCTCGTGGTCTTTTGTTAACAAGCTTTAGTTTATAGGCCAAGTTTTTGTTATCTGTATGTCAAATCAGCAGACATCTTGGGTCACTTAAATTTTGTTTTTCAAATTTTGAAATGAATAGCTTTATTGCTTTAGCTCATAAACTTAAGTCTTATTTTTTTTTCTTATGGGTGCATAGTAGGTGTATATATTTATGGGACACATATTATATTTTGATACAGGCTTGCAATGCATAATAATCACAATATGCTAAATGGGGAATCTATCTCCTCAGCATTTATACTTTGAGTTATAAACAATCCAATTATACTCCTTTAGTTATTTTTAAATTTATAATTAAATTATTATTGACTATAGTAAGCCCATTGTACTATCAAATACTAGGTCTTACTCATTCTTTATATATAAATATTTTGCACTTATTAACCATCCTCACTTCTGTCCCACCACTTACCACCTTTCCCAGCCTGTACTAACAATCCTTGTACTATCTCCATGAGTTCAACTGTTTTGAATCTTAGATCCCACAAATAAGTGAAAACCTGTGATGTTTGTCTTTCTGTGCCTGTTTTTTTTTTCTCTTAACATAATGACTATCCATATTGTTGCAAATTAGAGAATCTTATTCCTTTTTATGGCTGAATAGTACTCCATTGTGTGTAAAAACATTTTCTCTATCCACTCATCTGTTGATGGACGCTTAGGTTGCTTCCAAATCTTGGCTTTGTGGACAGTGTTATAACAAACATGAGAGTGCAGATATCTTTTTGATATACTAATTTCCCTTCTTTGGGGTATATACACAGCAGTTATATTGCTAGATGTTATGGTAGCTCTATTTTTAGTTTTTTGAGGAACCTCCAAAATGTTCTCCATAGTAGTTGTACTAATTTGTATTCCCACCAACAAGGTATGGTGGGCTCCCTTTTCTCCACATTCTCTCCAGCATTTGTTATTGCATGTCTTTTGGACAAAAGCCATTTTAAATGGGTGACATTGTATCTCCTCGAGTGGGCTATACAAAACACAATATTTATATATTCTGATACATAGAAAATTGGAGAAGGGGAGCAGTGAAACAAAGGGGACGTTCTTTCCATTTTGATCGGTGGTCAGGGACTTTTTACACAAGGTAAAGCAAATATGTGGTTACCACTGTATATAGGGTAAAAGGTTTTGATTTGCATTTCTCTGATGATCAATGATGTTGAACACCTTTTTATATGACTTTTTGCCTTTTGTGTGACTTCTTTTGAAAAATATCTATTCAGATATTTTGCCTACTTTTTGATTAGATTATTAGATTTTTTTTCCTATAGAGTTGTTTGAGCTCCATATATATTCTGGTTATTAAACCCTTGTCAGATGGATAGTTGGCAACTATTTTCTCTTAGTCTTTGGGTGGTCTCTTTGTTGATTGTTTTCTTTGCTGTGCAGAAGCTTTTTAACTTGATGTGATCACTATGTCTACTTTTGCTTTGGTTGCCTGTGTTCATGGGGTATTACTCAATAAATTTTTGCCCAGACCAATGTCCTGGAGAGTTTCTTCAAGGTTTTCTTGTAGTAGTTTCAGAGTTTGATTTTTTTTTTTTTTTTTTTTTTTTGAGATTGAGTCTCGCTCTGTCTGTCCCCCAGGCTGGAGTGCAGTGTCACGATCTCTGCTCACTGCAAGCTCTGCCTCCCGGGTTCACGCCATTCTCCTCCCTCAGCCTCCCGAGTAGCTGGGACTACAGGTGCCACCACGCCTGGCTAATTTTTTGTATTTTTAGTAGAGACAGGTTTTTACTGTGTTAGCCGGTATGGTCTTGTTCTCCTGACTTCGTGATCTGCCCACCTCGGCCTCCCAAAGTGCTGGGATTACAGGCGTGAGCCACCACACCTGGCCCAGAGTTTGATTCTTAAATGTAACTCTTTAATCCATTTTGGTTTGACTTTTGTATATTTCAAGAGACAAGGGTCTTGTTTCATTCTTTTGCTTATGGATATCCAGTTTTCCCAGCACTACTTATTGAAGAGACTGTCTTTTACCCAGTGTATATTCTTGGCACCTGTGTCAAAAATGAGTTCATTGTAGGTGTGTGGACTTGTTTCTGGATTCTCTCTTCTGCTCCATTGGTCTATGTGTCTGTTTTTATGCCAATACCATGCTGTTTTGGTTCCTATAGTATAATTTGAAGTATATTTGAAGCTCTGTAGTATAATTTGAAGTCAGTTAATGTGATTCCTCCAATTTTGTTCTTTTTTCTAGGAATAGCTTTGGCCGTTCTGGGTCTTTTGTGGTTTCATATAAATTTTAGGATAGTTTTTTTCTATTACTCTGAAGAATTTCATTGGTATTTTGATAGGGATTGCATTGAATCTGTAGATTGTCTTGGGTACTGTGGACATTTTAACAATATTGATTCTTCCAATCCATGAACATGAAATGTATTTCAGTTTTTTTGTGTCTCTTCTTCAATTTCTTTCACCAGTGTTTTGTAATTTTCATTAGAGAGATCTTTCATTTCTTTGGTTAATACCTAGGTATTTAATTTTATTTGTACCTCTTGTAAATGGAATTGCTTCATGATTTCTCTTTCACATTCTTCACTGTTGGCATATTGAAATGCTACTGATTTTTGTGTATTTATTTGTATTCTGCAACTTTACTGAATTTGTTCGTCAGTTCTAATCGTTTTTTGGTGAAGTCTTTAGATTCTTCCAAATACAAGGTCATATCATTTGCAAACAAGGATAATTTGATTTCTTTCTTTCCAATTTGGATGCCCTTTGTTTCTTTCTCTTGTCTGATTGCTCTAGCTAAGACTTCCAGTACTATGTTGAATAACAGTGGTGAAAGTGGGCATCCTTGTCATGTCCCAGATTTTAGAGGAAAGGCTGTTTCCATTTTTCCCCATTCAGTGTGATACTAGCTGCAAGTCTGAAATATATGGCTTTTATTATGTTGAGGTATGTTCCTTCTATACCCAGTTTTTTCAAGGGTTTTTATCATGAAGGGATGTTGAATTTTATCATAAAAGGATGTTGATTTTTATCAATCATCTCACCAATTGAAATAATTGTATCGTTTTTGTCCTTTATTGTGTTGATATAGTGTGTCACATTGATTGATTTGCATACATGGAAGCATCTTTGCATCCCTGGGATAAATTTCTCTTCGTCATGATGAATAATCTTTCTAATGTATCATTGACATTGGTTTGCTAGATATTGTTGAGGATTTTTGCATCAATATACATCAGAAATATTGGCCTGTAGTTTTTTGTTTTTAATATGTCTTTGTCTGATTTTGCTGTGAGAGTAATACTGGCCTCATAGAATGAGTTTAGAGATATTCCTTCCTCCTATATTTTTTGGAATAGTTTGAGTACAGTGGTATTCTTCTTTAAATGTTTGATAGAATTCAGCAGTGAAACCATTGAGTCCTGCACTGGAAGACATTTTATTATGGATTTGATATTATTGCTTGTTATTGGTCTGTTCAGATTAAGAATTTCTTCATGGTTCAATCTTGGTAGGTTGTATGTGTTTAGCAATTTACTTCCTCTAGATTTTCTGATTTTTTGGCGTAGAGTTGCTCCTAGTAGCCATTAATGATCCTTTGAATTTCTGCGGTATCTATTGCAATGTCTCTTTTTTCGTCTCTGATTTTATTTGAGTCATCTGCCTTTTTTTTTCTTAATTTGTCTAACTAAAGGTTTTCCAAGTTTATCTTTTCAAAAAACTGGCTTTCATGGTAATTGATTTTTTTGATTTTTTTCTTCATTTCAAAGTCACTTATTTTTGCTGTAATCTTTAGATTAGACTGGGTCTCACCTGGAGTCAGCATGTCTCATTTCTTTTCTTCTACTAATTTTGGGTTTGATTGGCTCTTGCTTTTCTAGTTCTTTAAGATGCATCATTAGGTTACTTATTTGAAGTGTTTCTTCTTTTTTGATGTAGCCATTTATAGCAATAAATTCTCCTCTTAGTACTGCTCTCATTATATCCCATAGATTTTGGTATGTTGTGTTTCCATTAACATTTGTTTCAATAAATTTTTAAATTTCCACCTTAATTTCTTCATTGACCCACTTGTTATTCAGGTGCGCATCGTTTAATTTTCACGTGTTTGTATAGTTTCCAAAATTCCTCTTCTATTGGTTTCTAGTTGGATTGCATTGTGTTCAGAGAAGATGCCTGATTACAATTTCATTTTTTTTGAATTTTTTGGACCCAATTCTGTGACCTAACATATGGTCTATTCTAGAGAATGATCCATGTGCTGAAGAGAAGAATGTGTATTCTGCAGCTGTTGGATGAAATGTTCTGTAAATATTTATTAGGTCCATTTGTCCTATAGTGCTAATTAAATTTGATGTTTCTTTGTCGATTTTCTGTTTGGAAGATGTGTCTAATGCTGAAAGTGGGGTATTGAAGTCTCCAGCTATTCATTCGCTGAGATCTATTTCTCTCTTTAGCTCTAATAACATTTGCCTTATGTATCTGTGTGCTCCAGTTTTAGGTGCATATATATTTCCAATTTTTATATCATCTTGCTGGATTGACCACTTTATCATTTAATAATGACCTTGTTTCTCTCTTCTTATGGTTTTTGTCTTGAACTCTATTTTGTTTAAATAAGTATAGCAACTCCTTCTGTGTTTTGGTTTTCATTCACGTGGAATATCTTTTTTCCATCTCTTTATTTTGAGTCTATTTGTATCTTTACGGGTGAAGTATGTTTGTTGTAAAGGAGAGATCATTAGGTCTTGTTTTTTCATCCATTCGGCCACTATATTTTTTTTTATTGAAGAGTTCACCCCATTTACATTCAATGTTATTGTGGAAAAGTAGGGACTTACTCCTGCCATTTTGTTATTTGTTTTGCGGTCTTCTGTTCCCTCTTTCCTTTCTTCCTGTCTTTGTTTTTATTTATTTAAGTGAAATTGTTTTTCTCTGGTGGTATGACTTAATTTCTTGCTTTTTATTTTTTGTGAATCTGTTGCATATTTTTCAATTTGCACTTACCATTAGGCTTGCAAATACTGTCTTATAACCCATTATTTTAAACTGATGACAACAGTGCTGATTGCATAATGAAATAAACATACAAAAAGAAAACTAATAAAAACTCTTTTTAACTTCATCCACCTGTTTTTTAACTTTATGTCTTACTATACTGTCTATGTCTCAAAAAGTTTTGTAGTTATTGTTTTTGATTGGTTCATCTTTTAGTTTTTCTACTTAAGAGTAGTTTACATACCATGATTACAATGCTATAATATTCTGAATTTTTCTGCATGCCTACTATTTCCAGTGAATTTTGTGCCTTCACATGATTTCTTATTTCTCATTAATGTCCTTTTCTTTCTGTGAAGAAGTCCCTTTAGCATTTCTTGTAGGAAAGGACTGGTGTTGATGAAATCCCTCAACTTGTGTTTGCCTTGGAAAGTCTTTTTTCTTCTTCATACTTGAAGGATATTTTCACCAGATATATACTATTCAGGATTCCAAGAGCCTGCTTGTTGCTCTATCCCTGCTATGACCAAGCTGGGACCTAAAGTGCAAGACAATGTCACCTTTACCTGCCCCTCTGCTTTTTTGCAGAGAGAAGGAGTCTTTTACTGTAGCCACCATAACTGCAAGTGTACTGGATCTCACCTGGAGTCAGCATGTCTTAGAGTCTCACCCAAGGCTCATGGCGTAATACCTGGATATTTCTGTTGGTTATTTAGAACCCAAGGGCTCTTTAGTTAGCAGGTGATGAATCTTCCCAGGACTGAGTTCTTCCCTTCAAGGCAGCAGGTTTCCTTTTGGCCCGGGGTGTGTCTAAAAATGTCTTCATAAGCTGGGGTCTGGAACAGGAGCCTCATGACTCTGCACGGTGCCTAACCTATTGTGGCTGAGCTGGTATCCAAGATGTAAGACAAAGTCCCCTTTACTCTTCACTCTCCTGTTCTTAAGCAGAAGGAAGGAGTCTCTTTCATTGCTGCAAGCTGCACTGCCTGGGGTTGGAAGAGGGTTGAAGCAAGCATTCCTTTTAGCTGCCCTGGTTGTTGCCTCTCTAGGCTGGTGCCACTCTAGTCCACTGGCTCTGAGTCCAACCCAACACTAGTTGTTGCCTGGGAATTGCAGTCTTTGTGTCCATGACTACCTTTCAAGTTTGTCTAGAACTGCAGAGCACTTTGGCCTGTGGTGCCAAGGCTTGCCAAGAAACTCAAATTCCAACTGCTGGGATGGGTGATTCCCTCCTAGCTAAGTCTGGTCCAACTGCTACTTTCATGCACAGGTTCTGGCTGTGCCCAGCAGAGCTTTGTTATCCACTGTGACAGGGCAGCATTGATTTCAACGTTAAGTCCTGCAGTTACTGCACTCTCCCTCCTCCAATTACACACATTCTTTTTCTGTGCCATGGTGCCATCGGCTGGGGAATGGGGTAGGTGTGGTTTCGGTGATTCATGACTGTCTCTCTGACCCTCTTCAATGCCTCTTTCAGTAATATGAAGTTAAAATCAGGTACTGTAATTGTTCATCTGATTTTTGGTTCTTGTGATAGTGCTTTTCTGTGTGCACATGTTAAAATTTGGTGTTCCTGCAAGGGAGGAGGTGCCAAGTGGTGTAGGCTTCTATTCTGCCATCTTGCTTCCACTTTTACAATTTTATTTGGATATTCCTTTTTCTGAAAATTTCTCCCTTTTGGTTGATATCATCCAAGGGAGGACTTTGAAGACTATATAAAATAATTTAGAGATTTGAAGAGGACAGGTCTCATTTTTTAGAATTATAGCATTTAGGGGATCAAATTGGAATTCTGAAATGCCCTTGTTCTCTTTTTAATTCCTATGTGAAACACCATCCTCTGCTATGTCAATGAGAATGCAAAAGCTACTGTATTTCTTTTCATTATGTGAAAAGGCTCTTATCCTATGCTGGTGTCTTTTCATTTCACAGAGAAATGAGATAATCACTGCATTGGGATTATTTCTTTAGGCGCTCTTGAGATGTGATGATGTGTTGCATTGTCTGCAGTATTGCTGAGATGCCTTGAGGAGCTGGGTGGAAGAATATTCAATGTGATGTACTTTTAATAATTCTTGAGAATTTGAGATTAAAAATAAAAATGAAAAGCCCTCAGTCAGTCAGAAATAGAGGAAAGAGGCAAAATGGGCATTAGAAGACCACCTTTATACGCATTCTGTGTCCTCGGGTTCAAATTGATGAACTACAATTTTGGTTAGAGTTGTATTCCTTTTGTGACATTTGTAAGTAACCTTTGCAGCATTTATAACATTTGTAACATAGAAACATTAGAAAAATAATCAATAATACAGTGAGTAACTGAGAGGTCCACTGTGGTAAAGACAATAGAAAAGAAACAACATATTATAGAAAAGAACATACATTTTGATAGTTGGAACATACATCACCTGAGCATACATTTTGGTAGTCTGTGAATAATCAGATAAATTTTTCCTTTTTCTTTGTATTTGTACCTCAAAATATCTTTGATTTCATTTAGAACTGTAATTAACTGATCATTTATAATATCTCATCGCTGGTTTGGACAATCTTTTGCTGCTGGGAGTACAGCTTGAGAAGGATCGAGTTCAAATTCCCAAAATACTTGGTTATCAATGTCTTCATTATTATAAGTGTTATTTTTTTCCTAGAAGTAACTTCCCTATGAAGCCAGTATTACACCAAATAGCCGTTTAATTTAAATCAAATATTATCTGATTGCAAGCAAGATCTGAAGCAGTTATAGTCTCATTCCTTTTCCCTTCCCAACAGAAGCATCCTTTTCCTATATAGCATATATTATTTTGGAGGGGGGTTGAAATTAGGGTCCGTGATTTCAGGATTCCACACATTTTGGGGACAGTACCATTCTTCCTGAATGTCTTTACTATGTAGAACTGAAATTGAAGTATTTTATACACACACATACACACACACACACACACGCACACACATACACACACACACACATATGTGTGTGTGTGTATATATATATATATACACACACATATACTGTATATGCAGGGTGCTTAACCCTGGTAGTAATTTTTCAGAAAAAAGAGGGTCTATATTTTTTCCACAAATGTATACCTTCTGCTTCTGCATCCAAAATGGTTGGTCATGTTTTAGAGGTACTCTGCTTCCATTTGAATTAGCATGGTCAGCAAACCTTGTTGAGTTTGGACACATGCCTTTTCCCATTGCTGAGTTTTGGCATAGTTCCTCATTACTTGAGCAGTTTGATTTACCCACTTAGCAGTAGCATCATTATCTTTCCATGCAGCTTCCAACCCTTATATTCCTTCTGAAAGAGTATTCCTTCTATTTAGATTGGTAAGTATTGACTCTTCTTGTCAATATATTTCTTTATTAAATACATTCCCAACTTGTCCTAATATCCTAAGTCCTGCCCCTATGGCACCTAATGCTGTTTTGACCTTAGCTGGCCAGTGCTGTGTTATCAAACATGTTTGGGTTGTTGATAAGACATGTTTGATAAGACAGCAAATATGTTATTGCCATTGGGCATTTATAGCAGGAGTGCAGTTTGGGTACAGGTTGACAACCCAAAATGTTGGGTGTTCCAAGTTCAGGTGAGATGGGTAGAAGTTACCTGTAGATATAGTTTAGTTTGGATATGCCAAAAGGCTTTTCACATTCTCTCTGGTTGGATCCTCAAATTGTCCTTCAGTGATATCCTTGTTCACCAAGTAATCCCCATTGTATGAATCCCAGTTTCATTAGAATGTTTCATAGACCTCCAGTCACAAAAATAAGGTCCCTGACCCCCAGAACAAGAAATACTATGACAAGGCACACTAGCTGAAGCTGTCTTCCATTTTATCAGGGCTTTTGGATACTAACTGATTAACTATATTCATAGTAATACAGTGATCTACTTGCAAAGTATTAAAAACTGCCCAATCAGGCATGGAATTGGGAAGAACTTCCTGGATGTGTTTCCTTAAACGGGGGCCCTGGTAGTATCTTAATCCTAAAAAGAAGATGCTGTAGGAGCACTGGGCTAGTTACAAAAACTTGACATCAGGGTTTCAATGTCCACTTGATAATGAAAAATAAAGGTTTGCCCTACTTCCATATTAATTAGATTAGTGGTTTCCTAGTAAGAGGAATGGGAATCAAGCAAAGCAGGGGGAATTACCAGACATTCAGTCATCATAACAAAAATACAAAAACAAAAGGTATATGTTAAAAAAATTGACATGAGTACAGACCTGGTCCAGTATTTTGGAAAATGCTGTTTACTCAGATGTCATCTACTTTCCATCCTTGAAGGGCTCAGGAATCTTAGAGGTCTTTAACTGGAGATCTCTGGTAGACTCAGAAGTCCATTCAGGTGTTGGAGTTTTCTTTAAATGAGAAATGTAACACCAGGAGTCAACCATATCAAGTTTAGTTGCACAGTGATTATAGCTGCACAGGTATGGTATGTCAATAATACTTGATAAGGTTCTCTCCAACAAAGTTCAGGTGAACCCTTTAGTTGATGTCTCTTCCAATAAACATAGTCCTATGTCTAGTGATCATGATACTTAAGACCTTTATTGCTCAGCAGTGCACTGTAAAAAGAGTTTTATCAATTTAGCTTTTTGGGAGAGAAGTTTGGTTAAGCCTTGACAGAAATGGAGCGTATCCCCTTTCAATAAGTTGGTTTGTTATTGAATGAGGATGGAGAAATCCTCTATCCAGTCTCATCCAGATTAACCTGTAATTATCTTGCAGGGGGATAATTGATGTTTTTCAAAAGGAGTTGCTCTTAGGTTAACTAAAACCAATGGAAGAGACTTGGGCCGAGTAATTTGAAAAGCTTTAGTTAATTTTGACAGTTGGGTTTTTATTATTCTGTTTGTTCATTCCACCAATGCAGAGGACTGTGGATGGTTTACACAATAAAAATATTGGAAAATGGGCCTGATTTTACAAACTGAGAGAACTATCTGTCCCACAAAAATGAGTTTCCTATCACTGTGTAATTTGGAAGGAATTCCCCAAGAGGGAGTTACCTGTTCCAAAATAAATATTTTCCTACTCCTTGTGCAGTGGCTGTTCTACAAGAAAATGTTTCAACATAATGAGAAAACATGCACATCTTAACTAATACGTATTTATAACCTTGGTCTGGAGGTAATTGGATAAAATCCATTTGCCAAATTTCAAAAGCTCTGATGGGCAAAGAGAAACAACCTTGAGATCCGTGAAAAGGCTTCCCTGGATTATGCTTTGAACAAATTGGATATTTTGCATAAACCTTATAAGCTATGCTAGTAAGGGTTTCCCATAATATTGGTTTCCCCAGGCAGTCATTTTCTTAGGTCCCCAGTGAGTAAGCTTATAAACATGTTGTAGCATAGCAAACTGAAATCCCATCAGCAAAATAGGTCTGTCGTTGGGTCCATACCATAAATTACAAGCAAGGGTGGGGGGCTTTTGTTGGGAGGTAGCACTCCCCCTTGATTAGCTATATCTGCCTTTTTCTCTCTAAAGCCTTTTCTTGAGTTTCACGGAGCTCCTTTTTGATGGAATTTCTTTTAAACATAGCTACCTTTGTAGTTTCATCTGCTATTTGTGTTATAGTAGCCTTTTTGGCTGCTTCATCAGCAAAATGATTTCCTTTACCCTCCGGAGAGTCAAGTTTGGGATGTCCAGGAATTGTAATAGCCACTTATTTTTTTGTAATTGGATGGCTTCTAGGAGGAGGTCAGAAACCTGACAGCTATGTTTGCTAGATTGTCCAGAGTAGTTTAAATGTTCTTTTTGCTTTCATAACATTCCAAGGTCATGAGCTACATGTAACGTCTGTCAGTGTAAATATTAGCCATTTGTTTTTTGGCCAAATGACAAGCTCTGATGAGTGCTGTTAACTAAGCTAACTATGTTGATTTTTCTTTAGGTAAGGGATTGCTTTCTATGATGTCCACAAGGGACACAATGGCATAGCCTGCCCGTTATTTCCCAAATCCATCCCTTAGGTATGATCCATCAATGAATCAGATAACATCAGCATTTTCCGGGAGTGTCTCCTGTAAATCCTGTCTGGACATCAAAAGCTGTTCTGTGAGAAAAATACAGTAATGAGTTATCTCATCAACTGTTTCAGGCAGCAAAAACAGAGGCAATGAAGAGTATTACAGGGAGAGATAGTAACATGTGGATGAGAGAGTAAGAGTACTTAAGAATCCAGTCTGCTAACAGAAAAATGCTGAGTATGATATGTGAATTCCAGAGAGCTTCTACAGAGTGAGATACATATAAAGTCAACAGAGCATCCATTACAATTTCCTGAGTGGCCTTAAGGAGCATGGCAATGGCTAAAGTGGCCCTCAGACAAGGGGGTATGCTACAGGGCATAATTGCTGACTATCATAGCCAATAGATTATTATAAGAAAATAGGACTATACTGTCCTCCATGGTTTTGGGTTAGAACCCTCAGCATGCTGCCGTGGCTCTCATGAGAAAAAAAGGAAAAGCAGCAGCCCAAATATGGCCCAAAACAGGGGCTATTGTAAGATTTTCTTTTTTTTCTTGAATAGCTCTTTGTTCTTCTGATGTTCAGTACGTGGGCTTAAGTTGATCTTCTTTCAACAATGTATATAACTGCTGTACCATGAGAGTAAAATTGGAGATCCAGCTAGGGTAGCCAGCTAAACCTAAAACCCCCCTTAGCTGTCTAGTTTTTGGAGTGGGGTATACAAGAATTCTAGTTACTCAATTTGGATTTATGTGTAGTCCCCCCTTAGAAATTAAATGTTCCAAATATTTTCCTTCTGTTAAGCAAAATTTGAGTTTTTCTTTGGATACCTCATGACTTCTCTTTGCTAACTGTTCCAGCAAGTACAGGGAATAGGTTTTACAATATAGCAGATTTGTGGAGCATAACAAGGGATCATCCATATACTTAAGTAGAATGGAATTTCCTTCAAAATTTAGCTCAGCATGGTCAGCCCTTAATATTTACAAAAGATAAGTTGGACTTTTGGTATAACTTGAGGCATAACATTCTAGGTATATTGAAAGCCATCTCAGGTAAAGGCAAACAAATATTTACTGACAGGGTCTATTGGTATGCTAAAGAAACATATGTAAATTAATTACAGTAAAATATTAATTGCTTACAAGTATATTGGACAAAAGAGTATGAGAGCTTGGGACTGCTGGATGATGGGGAATCATAATATTGTTAATAATGCTCAAACCTTGTACAAATCTCTATCCTTTCCTATAAGATTTTCTTACTGGGAGCATGGGGCTATTACAAAGACTGAAATAAGAGATAATCCTTTATCAATGAAATCTTTGATTGTTGGTTTTATTCCTATTACAGCTTCCTGTTTTGATGGATATTGTTTAATATTCAAAAGTGGCTTATTTGGATCCACCTGTACTTGTATTGGCCACTAAAATTCCTTCTATTTCAGTAGATGATTGGAACCATAGTTAGGAATATGTGTTAGCAAATCATCAAGTTCTTTTTCTGTTATAATACTTGGTGTTTGAATTTTAATTTTAATCTGATTCAAAATTTCAGATCTGTCATTTTTAGTCAGTTCTTTTTCAGTCATTTCCAAAATCATTTTCCTTCTTTTTGAGAAGAAAATATGATCATTATAAAGTTCCAGAAAATCTCTTCCTATCAAATGTTTTGGTGTGGAAGGCACCAAAAGGAAAGAATGGTATTCATCTAAATTTCCTAATTGTAAAGGCAAAAGTTTTGATTTATATAGTGTCATTGGTTGATTAGATACCCCTAATATTTGAATAGTTTGATTACTCTGAGGAAGAAGGCTCTTTAGGAAAGGTGGGGTTGAGGATAGAAAAGGTAGCTCTTGTGTCAATTAATGCTTTAATTTGTTCTCTATTATATCTATCTATCTATCTATCTATCTATCTATCTATCTATCTACCTATCTATCTATCTACCTACCTACCTACCTACCTATCTACCTATTTATCTATCTTCACTTCCCCCAGATTATGACTTAAAAGCAAGGGAAAGGCCCTCTTTATTTCCTCAGAGCCTCCCATACCTCTTCTTTCTTTTATATTTATTCTTGTTAATTTCTGTGCCCATTTCAACTTTTTGCAATCTTTCTTCAGATGTCCTGGTTCCTTGCAATAATAACAGACACATTTAGATGTTTCTGAGGTTCCCTTTGGAAAGGGAGTCCTCTATTTTGATCTGCATATCTGACCAGTGAGTTGCTGGAGTTGTAAGTTCGTGATTTTAGTGATCTTGTTATCCTTCTTTGGCTGTATAACTTTGGTCAGTTTATCAGTTTCCCTAATTCCGAAGTGTGTACGCAATCCCAATTTATTTGGTGCAATTTGACCACATTGGCCAATTGCTCATCCAATCTGTTAAGAAAGGTTGAATTTAATAAAGAATCATTTTGACAATTCCTTAGACTGTCTTCATTCATTCCCAAATATTGTTTGAAAACCTTTTCAAATCTTTCAATATAATAGTCTAGCATAGTTTCATTTGGTCCTGTTTACAGTGCTGGACTTTAGACTGACCAGCAAGCAATCTTAGAAAATACCTGGGGAATTATTTGTGCGAAACAATTTACTGGTTCTTGGGCCTTCTCCCTGTCTTCAGCTGTCTGCTTAAGAAAATTGCTTAGTGGATTTTTCTAGTCAACCTTTTGATAGCCATTATTCAGCTTTTTCTTTCAGATGCCAGCATATAAATTAATTGTTATAAATCTCAATAGTCAGGTTCATAAGTCCTGGTGGTTAGATTGAATTTCTTAGTGACACCTACAGGATCTTGGGTAGGATCAGGAAACTCCTTAGCACTATCTCTGAATTATGCCTTAGTCCTGGAGATATAGGTTATTGAAGGTTCCCCACTTGGTTTAGTTTTTTCTCTAAAGAGTGCTGCTAAAACCTCAGAGGGTGGTGGAGGAGGGAGTGAAGAAAATCTGGACAAGGCAGTTCTGAAACCAAGTGAGAGGAAGGTTCAAGAAGCAGAGGGGAAGGAGTGGTAGCAAGAGAAGGCAAAACAGTGGAAACTTTGAATAATTTTTTCAGTCGAGAAATGGTTTCCAAGATATTGTGGTTCACTTCATGTATAGAAGCAATTTTATCATTCCCCTTTGTAAAGTTTCTAAATGCCATTTGAAATTCTATCCCATTCTTTCTGCTTAATTCTTGAGCCAGCTCTTTGCAATTGTGCCCATAAGTAAACCAGTTTCGGGATCTCAAAAGAGTCCCATTTTGGCCAAATTAAACTAATTTCATTTTTAATGATGTTGGTCTAATGAGTCAAAAATTTACAAGAAGCATTATAATTTTTAGTCATAAATCCAGCTGGTGTCTTAGGAGGTGTTTTCCTTATACTTTCAGTTAGATGTATTATTTCTTATGTTTTCCCCTCTTCTCTCCTTTGTCTACACCAAGTCAAGGATGTATTTAAGGTCAAAGGTGTATTGCTAAGAGGTACACTCCTCAGGCTCTCAACCCCAAGTAGGTTACCCTCATGTGTCTCAAGAAAGCTCACCTTCATGCGAGGCAGTGCAGTACTCCAAATGCTAGGTGACCACCCATTTGTGAGCATTTCCCAGAGGACCTTAAGTATTTTACCTGCTTTTTTTGTTTGTTTGTTTGTTTTTGTTTTGTTTTGTTTTGTTTTGTTTGTTTTTGTCCTTCTGGGGGAACCCTATGGGACTGCCCATCAGGAGAGATCCCCTTCCAACACCTCTAAGAGATCCTTAGTTACCTAAGAATATCTGAGATTTGGGCTGGAGGGAGCAAATGTCTCATAACTTTGGAGCAATTTTATCGCAATTGCTCTCAGAAGGAATATAAAAGGGTTGGTACAGACAAAAGAGGTTTGAAAAGAGAAACATTCAGCTGATCAAAGAAACCACCATTTTAACTGCAGCAATGCTTGGTTGACCTTACTTTTCTTTCCTTTCTTCGTAGCAATTTAGAACAAAGGGATAACCCTAGGGAGAACTTAGCAAACACATGATGTACTACTCCTCTTAGAGGTCCTAAGTAAAGCTAATTTAGACCTCTAGCAAAAGAGAGGGACGACTGGATTCCAGGTAACCCACCATGTAAACCCAGTGGTTCCCCTAGAGTTGGATCAAACACAATGCTTTTGTGCTGGTACCAAGAACTGAGTTCCTTAAGATGAGTCCTGTGTGTCCCTGAATCTGGCTGGAATTCTGCCGACTATGCCATCTGTCAACCTAAAGGTTAAGTAAAAGGCATTATACCTTAAAGACATTTTTTTTTAATTTTATTATTATACTTTAAGTTTTAGGGTACGTGTGCACAATGTGCAGGTTCGTTACATATATATACATGTGCCATGTTGGTGTGTTGCACCCATTACCTTGTCATTTAGCATTAGGTGTATCTCCTAATGCTATCCCTCCCCCTCCACCCACCCCACAACAGTCCCTGGTGTGTGATGTTCCCCTTCCTGTGTCCATGTGTTCTCATTGTTCCATTCCCACCTATGAGTGAGAACATGCGGTGTTTGGTTTTTTTCCTTGTGATAGTTTGCTGAGAATGATGGTTTCTAGTTTCATCCATGTCCTTACAAAGGACATGAACTCATCCTTTTTTATGGCTGGATAGTATTCCATGGTATATATGTGCCACATTTTCTTAATCCAGTCTATCATTGTTGGACATTTGGGTTGGTTCCAAGTCTTTGCTATTGTGAATAGTGCCACAATAAACATACGTGTGCATGTGTCTTTATAGCAGCATGATTTATAATCCTTTGGGTATATACCCAGTAATGGGATGGCTGGGTCAAATGGTATTTCTAGTTCTAGGTCCTTGAGGAATCGCCACACTGACTTCCAGAATGGTTGAACTAGTTTACAGTCCCACCAACAGTGTAAAAGTGTCCCTATTTCTCTAGGACCTGTTGTTTCCTGACTTTTTAATGATCGCCATTTTAACTGGTGTGAGATGGTATCTCATTGCGGTTTGAATTTGCATTTCTCTGATGGCCAGTGATGATGAGCATTTTTTTATGTGTCTGTTGCTGCATAAATGTCTTCTTTTGAGAAGTGTCTGTTCATATCCTTTGCCTACTTGTTGATGGGGTTGTTTGTTTTTTTCTTGTAAATTTGTTTGAGTTCATTGTAGATTCTGGATATTAGCCCTTTGTCAGATGAGTAGATTGTAAAAATTTTCTCCCATTCTGTAGGTTGCCTGTTCACTCTGATGGTAGTTTCTTCTGCTGTGCAGAAGCTCTTCAGTTTAATTAGATCCCATTTGTCAATTTTGGCTTTTGTTGCCATTGCTTTTGGTGTTTTAGACATGAAGTCCTTGCCCATGCCTATGTCCTGAATGATATTGCCTAGGTTTTCTTCTAGAGTTTTCATGGTTTTAGGTCTGACATGTAAGTCTTTAATCCATCTTGAATTAATTTTTGTATAAGGTGTAAGGAAGGGATCTGGTTTCATCTTTCTATGTGTGGCTAGCCAGTTTTCCCAGCACCATTTCTTAAATAGGGAATCCTTTCCCCATTTCTTGTTTTTGTCAGGTTTGTCAAAGATCAGATGGTTGCAGATATGCGGCATTATTTCTGAGGGCTCTGTTGTGTTCCGTTGGTCTGTATCTCTGTTTTGGTACCAGTACCATGCTGTTTTGGTTACTGTAGGCTTGTAGTATAGTTTGAAGTCAGGTAGCGTGATGCCTCCAGCTTTGTTCTTTTGGCTCAGAATTGACTTGGCAATGCGGGCTCTTTTCTGGTTCCATATGAACTTTAAAGTAGTTTTTTCCAATTCCGTGAAGAAACTCATTGGTAGCTTGATGGGGATGGCATTGAATCTATAAATTACCTGGGGCAGTATGGCCATCTTCATGATATTGATTCTTCCTACCCATGAGCATGGAATGTTCTTCCATTTCTTTGTATCCTCTTATTTCATTGAGCAGTGGTTTGTAGTTCTCCTTGAAGAGGTCCTTCCCATCCCTTATAAGTTGGATTCCTAGGTATTTTATTCTCTTTGAAGCAATTGTGAATGGGAGTTCACTCATGATTTGGCTCTCCGTTTGTTATTGATGTATAAGAATGCTTGTGATTTTTGTACATTGATTTTGTATCCTGAGACTTTGCTGAAGTTGCTTATCAGCTTAAGGAGATTTTGGGCTGAGACTATGGGGTTTTCTAGATATACAATCATGTCATCTGCAAACAGGGACAATTTGACTTCCTTTTTTCCTAATTGAATGCCCTTTATTTCCTTCTCCTGCCTAATTGCCCTGGCCTGAACTTCCAACACTATGTTGAATAGGAGTGGTGAGAGAGGGCATCCCTGTCTTGTGCCCGTTTTCAAAGGGAATGCTTCCAGTTTTTGTCCATTCAGTATGATATTGGCTGTGGGTTTGTCATAGATAGCTCTTATTATTTTGAGATACGTCCCATCAATACCTAATTTATTGATAGTTTTTAGCATGAAGCTTGTTGAATTTTGTCAAAGGCCTTTTCTGCATCTATTGAGATAATCATGTGATTTTTGTCTTTGGTTCTCTTTATATGCTGGATTACGTTTATTGATTTTCGTATGGTGAACCAGCCTTGCATCCCAGGGATGAAGCCCACTTGATCATGGTGGATAAGCTTTTTGATGTGCTGCTGGATTCAGTTTGCCAGTATTTTATTGAGGATTTTTGCATCAATGTTCATCAGGAATATTGGTCTAAAATTCTCTTTTTTTGTTTTGTCTCTGCTAGGCTTTGGTATCAGGATGATGCTGGCCTCATAAAATGAGTTAGGGAGGATTCCCTCTTTTTTCTATCGATTGGAATAGTTTCAGAAGGAATGGTACCAGCTTCTCCTTGTACCTCTGGTAGAATTTGGCTGTGAATCCATCTGGTCCTGGACTTTTTTTGGTTGGTAAGCTATTAATTATTGCCTCAATTTCAGAGCCTGTTATTGGTCTATTCAGAGATTCAGCTTCTTGCTGGTTTAGTTTTTGGAGGGTGTATGTGTCGAGGAATTTATCCATTTCTTCTAGATTTTCTTGTTTATTTGCATAGAGGTGTTTATAGTATTCTCTGATGGTAGTTTGTATTTCTGTGGGATCGGTGGTGTTACCCCTTTATCATTTTTTATTGTGTCTATTTGATTCTTCTCTCTTTTCTTCTTTATTAGTCTTGCTAGCAGTCTATCAATTTTGTTGATCTTTTCAAAAAACCAGCTCCTGGATTCATTGATTTTTTGAGGGGTTTTTTGTGTCTCTATTCCCTTCAGTTCTGCTCTGATTTTAGTTATTGCTTGCCTTCTGCTAGCTTTTGAATGTGTTTGCTCTTGCTCCTCTAGTTCTTTTAATTGTGATGTTACCGTGTCAATTTTAGATCTTTCCTGCTTTCTCTTGTGGGCATTTAGTGCTATAAATTTCCCTCTACACACTGCTTTGAATGCGTCCCAGAGATTCTGGTATGTTGTGTCTTTGTTCTCATTGGTTTCGAAGAACATCTTTATTTCTGCCTTCATTTCTTTATGTACCCAGTAGTCATTCAGGAGCAGGTTGTTCAGTTTCCATGTAGTTGAGTGGTTTTGAGTGAGTTTCTTAATGCTGAGTTCTAGTTTGATTGCACTGTGGTCTGAGAGACAGTTTGTTATAATTTCTGTTCTTTTACATTTGCTGAGGAGTGCTTTACTTCCAACTATGTGTTCAATTTTGGAATAGGTGTGGTGTGGTGCTGAAAAGAATGTATATTCTGTTGATTTGGGGTGGAGAGTTCTGTAGATGTCTATTAAGTCCTCTTGGTGCAGAGCTGTGTTCAATTCCAGGATATCCTTGTGAACTTTCTGTCTCTTTGATCTGTCTAATGTTGACAGTGGGGTGTTAAAGTCTCCCATTATTATTGTGTCGGAGTCTAAGTCTCTTTGTAGGTCACTAAGGACTTGCTTTATGAATCTTGGTGCTCCTGTATTGGGTGCATATATATTTAGGATAGTTAGTTCTTGCTGAATTGACCCCTTTACCATTATGTAATGGCCTTCTTTGTCTCTGTTGATCTTTGTTGGTTTAAAGTCTGTTTTATCAGCGACTAGGATTGCAACCCCTGCCTTTTTTTGTTTTCCATTTGCTTGGTAGATCTTCCTCCATCCCTTTATTTTGAGCCTATGTGTATCTCTGCACGTGAGATGGGTTTCCTGAATACAGCACACTGATGGGTCTTGACTCTTTATCCAGTTTGCCTGTCTGTGTCTTTTAATTGTAGCATTTAGCCCATTTCCATTTAAGGTTAATATTGTTATGTATGAATTTGATCCCGTCATTATGATGTTAGCTGGTCATTTTGCTCGTTAGTTGATGCAGTTTCTTCCCAGCCTTGATGGTCTTTGCAATTTGGCATGTTTTTGCAGTGGCTGGTACTGGTTGTTCCTTTCCATGTTGAGTGCTTCCTTCAGGAGCTCTTTTAGGGCAGGCCTGGTGGTGACAGAATCTCTCAGCATTTGCTTGTCTGTAAAGTATTTTATTTCTCCTTCACTTATGAAACTTAGTTTGGCTGGATAGGAAATTCTGGGTTGAAAATTCTTTTCTTTAAGAATGTTGAATATTGGCCCTCACTCTCTTCTGGCTTGTAGAGTTTCTGCCGAGAGATCCGCTGTTAGTCTGATGGGCTTCCCTTTGTGGGTATCCCGACCTTTCTCTGTGGTTGCGCTTAACATTTTTTCCTTCATTTCAACTTTGGTGAATCTGACAATAATGTGTCTTGGAGTTGCTCTTCTCGAGGAGTATCTTTGTGGCATTCTCTGTATTTCCTGAATTTGAATGTTGGCCTGCCTTGCTAGACTGGGAAAGTTCTCCTGGATAATATCCTACAGAGTGTTTTCCAACTTGGTTCCATTCTCCCCGTCACTTTCAGGTACACCAATCAGACGTAGATTTGGTCTTTTCACATAGTCCCATATTTCTTGGAGGCTTTGTTTGTTTCTTTTTATTCTTTTTTCTCTAAACTTCCCTTCTTGCTTCATTTCATTCATTTCATCTTCCATCATTGATACCCTTTCTTCCAGTTGATCACATCGGCTACTGAGGCTTGTGGATTCGTCACGTAGTTGTTGTGCCGTGGTTTTCAGCTCCATCAGGTCCTTTAAGGACTTCTCTGCATTGGTTATTCTAGTTAGCCATTCATCTAATCGTTTTTCAGGGTTTTTAACTTCTTTGCCATTGGTTGGAACTTCCTCCTTTAGCTCAGAGTAGTTTGATCTTCTGAAGCCTTCTTCTCTCAACTTGTCAAAGTCATTCTCTATCCAGCTTTCTTCTGTTGCTGGTGAGGAGCTGCATTCCTTTGGAGGAGGAGAGGCACTCTGATTTTTAGAGTTTCCAGTTTTTCTGCTCTGTTTTTTCCCCATCTTTGTGGTTTTATCTACCTTTGGTCTTTGATGATAGTGACGTACAGATGGGTTTTTGGTGTGGATGTCCTTTCTGTTTGTTAGTTTTCCTTCTAACAGTCAGTACCCTCAGCTGCAGGTCTGTTGGAGTTTGCTGGAGGTCCATTCCAGACCCTGTTTGCCTGGGTGTCAGCAGCAGTGGCTGCGGAACAGTGGATATTGGTGAACCGCAAATGCTGCTGCCTGATTGTTCCTCTGGTTGTTTTGTCTCAGAGGAGTACCCGGCCATGTGAGGTGTCAGACCGCCCCTACTGGGGGGTGCTTCCCAGTTAGGCTACTCGGGGGTCAGGGACCCACTTGAGGAGGCAGTCTGCCTGTTCTCAGATCTCGAACTGCGTGCTGGGAGAACTGCTACTCTCTTCAAAGCTGTCAGACAGGGACATTTAAGTCTGCAGAGGTTACTGCTGCCTTTTCTTTGTCTGTGCCCTGCCCCTAGAGGTGGAGCCTACAGAGGCAGGCAGGCCAGCCTCCTTGAGCTGTGATGGGCTCTACCCAGTTCAAGCTTCTTGGCCACTTTGTTTACCTACTCAAGCCTTGGCAATGGCAGGCACCCCTCCCCCAGCCTTGCTGCTGCCTTGCAGTTTGATCTCAGACTGCTGTGCTAGCAATGAGCGATGCTCCATGGGTGTAAGACCCTCTGCGCCAGGTGTGAGATATAATCTCCTGGTGTGCCGTTTGTTAAGCCCGTTGGAAAAGCGCAGTATTAGGGTGGGAGTGACCCGATATTCCATGTGCCATCTGTCACCCCTTTCTTTGCCTAGGAAAGGGAATTCCCTGCCTCCTTGCGCTTCCTGTGTGAGGCGATGTCTCGCCCTGCTTCAGCTCACACACGGTGTGCTGCACCCACTCTCCTGCACCCACTGTCCGGCACTCCCCAGTGAGATGAACCCGGTACCTCAGTTGGATATGCAGAAATCACCCATCTTCTGCGTTGCTCACTTTGGGAGCTGTAGACTGGAGCTGCTGCTATTCGGCCATCTTGGCTCCACCCTCACCTTAAAGAAATTTTAAGTTAATTTTATTCTGATCCAAGTTTGAGGACTAATAGCTCGGGAAACACAGACTCAGTCAGTGCAAACTGAGAATGTGGCCGGGCGTCGTGGCTGACAACTGTAATGCCAGCACTTTTGGAGGCCGAGGCGGGCAGATCATGAGTCCGGAGTACAAGAGCATCCTGGCTAACAGGGTGAAACCCCGTCTCTACTAAAAATACAAAAAAATTAGCCGAGCGTGGTGGCGGGCGCCTGTAGTCCCAGCTACTCAGGAGGCTGAGGCAAGAGAATGGCTTGAACCCAGGAGGTGGGGCTTGCAGTGAGCCGAGATCACGCCACTGCACTCCAGCCTGGGCGACAGAGTGAGACTCCGTCCCAAAAAAACAAAAAACAAACAAAAGAATTGAGAATGTGTTCCCAAATGGGCTACACAAAACACTGTATTTATACATTCTGTTACATAGGAAATAGAAGAAGGGGAGCAGTGAAGTGAAAGTGACATTCTTATAATTTTGAGTGATGCTCATTTACATTACATGTAAGATAAAGCAAATATGTGGTTACGGTATGTAGGGTAAAATGTTAATGAGCATGTAGGTTTCTTATGATCTGGAAAGTGATGACTTATTATATCTTGCCTTTGTGTTTTATCTGATAGACAAAGTTGTAATCAGTAAACATTGATGAAATATTTGACAGAATCCAGCCCTGCAGAGGAGAGTTCAGTTTTAGTATGTAGGCCTAGTTTTTATTATGCATATGGCTAACCTGAAGCCATCTTGGCCCACTTTTAGAATTTTATTTCCATTTTTCTTTTTCTGTTAGTTGCAAATAAATAAAAAGTACTGGCATACAACATAAATCCAATACAAGAATTCATGGACAATTACATCCCTTTTGTAGCTCCTTCCTAAACCATTCATCACATTAGCAGTTTGCATCAAAGACAAAGGGCTTCCTATGGTGAATAAAGGAGATTTGAAATATTTAACTAAGTATGCCAGAACAGGGATTTATAATTTCAGTATCAGCTCATTGTGATTTTCCTGAATAAATTAGTAAATAAGTGATTGATAGGAATGGAAATATTTCCTGTTTAAACTTTAATGATGCTTTTAAACTCATTTTCCTCATTGTCCAAAGCTTCCTTTCTTTCTTTTTTTTTTTTTTCCTTATACTTTAAGTTCTGGGATACATGTGCAGAACATGTGGGTTTGTTACATAGGTATGCACGTGTCATGGTGGTTTGCTACACATGCCATGGTGGTTTGCTGCACCCATCAGCCTGTCATCTAACTTAGGTATTTCTCCTATTGCTATCCCTCCCCTACCCCCACACCCCCAACAGTCCCTAGTGTTTGACGTTCCCCTCCCTATGTCCACATGTTCTCATTGTTCAACTCCCACTTATGAGTGAGAACATGTGGTGTTTGGTTTTCTGTTCCTGTGTTAGTTTGCTGAGAATGATGGTTTCCAGCTTCATCCATGTCCCTTCAAAGGACATGAATTCATCCTTTTTAATGGCTGCATAGTATTCCATGGTGTATATGTGCTACATTTTCTTTATCCAGTCTATCATTGATGAGTATTTGGGTTGGTTCCAAGTCTTTGCTACTGTGAATAGTGCTGCAATAAGCATATGTGTGCATGTGTGTTTATAGTAGGATGATTTATAATCCTTTGGGTATATACCCAGTAATGGGATTGCTGGGTCAAATAGTATTTCTGGTTCTAGATCATTGAGGAATCACTACACTGTCTTCCACAATCGTTGAACTAATTTACACTCCCACTAACAGTGTAAAAGCGTTCCTATTTCTCCACATCCTCTATAGCATCCATTGTTTCCTGACTTTTTAATGATCGCCATTCTAAGTGGTATGATATGGTATCTCATTGTGGTTTTGATTTGCATTTCTCTAATGACCAGTGATGATGAGCCTTTTTTCGTATGTTTTTTGACCACATATATGTCTTCTTTTGAGAAGTGTCTGTTTACCCACTTTTTGAAGGGGTTGTTTATTTCTTGTAAATTTGTTTAAATTCATTTTAGATTCTGGATATTAGCCCTTTGTCAGATGGATAGACTGAAAAAATTTTATTCCATTCTGTAGGTTGCCTGTTCACTCTGATGATACTTTCTTTCGCTGTCTAGAAGCTCTTTAGTTTAATTAGATCCCATTTGTCAATTTTGGCTTTTGTTGCCATTGCTTTTGGTGTTTTAGTCATGAAGCCTTTGCCCATGCCTATGTCCTGAATGGTATTGCCTAGGTTTTCTTCTAAGGTTTTTATGGTTTTAGGTTTTACATTTAAGTTTTTAAACCATCTTGAGTTAATTTTTGTATAAGGTGTAAGGAAGGGGTCCAGTTTCAGTTTTCTCCATATGGCTAGCCAGTTTTCCCAATACCATTTATTAAATGGGGAATCCTTTCCCCATTGTTTGTTTTTGTCAGGTTTGTCAAAGATCAGATGGTTGTAGATGTGTGGCATTATTTCTGTGGCCTCTATTCTGTTTCATTGGTCTATATATCTGTTTTGGTACCAGTACCATGCTGTTTTGGTTACTGTAGCCTTGTAGTATCGTTTGAAGTCAGGTAGTGTGATGCCTCCAGGTTTGTTCTTTTTGCTTAGGATTGTCTTGGCTATATGGGCCCTTTTTTTGGTTCCATATGAAATTTAAAGAAGTTTTCTCCTAATTCTGTGAAGAAAGTCAATGGTAGCTTGATGGGGATAGCATTGAATCTATTAATTACTTTGAGCAGTATGGCCATTTTCACGATATTGATTCTTCCTATCTTGTCCAAGGGTTTCTAAAGCACCTGTAAACACTTTAAATGCTTCAGTTTTCAGTATTTTGAATATTAGTGTTTTGTGTTGATTACAGATTATATTTATACTTACTATTTCTGAAAAAAATTGCCAATTTTTAAATTTAGTACTATAAAGTTAAAATTTACATAGTAGTTATGAATCAGTTGATGAACATATATATGTATGCAATAAATAGTATTTCTGTACTTTCTTTAAATTGGCTACTCCAAGACTCTGTTTTGCTTGATTGGTTGAATATTTCCTCTCAATTGTTATTAGCCCTGCCCTTGCCCCAGGGTTTACAAAGGTCCTGGGTACTGTCAATGGAAGACAAGTCTCAATCATTTTTGGAGATTTATTTGCCAAAGTTAAGGATGCGCCTGGGATACAGGTCTATGCCTTTCTCTGAAGATGATTTTGAGGGGTCCAAATTTAAAAGGGAAAGGGTGGTATATTGAGAAGCATACAGTTTTCACAAAAACAAAAGGGTCAAAGGAAAAATGGGGGGAATCTTCATTTTACATAACACCGACAAATGGGGTAGGGGAACAACCAGATATGCATTTGTGTCTGGAGAGCTGGGTTGACTGCATTTTTATAAAGCTATCAATTTGCATTGCCATGGTGAAGTTTTAGCAGCTCACCAGGAATTTCCCTGTGGGCAAAACATGGGGGAGGCAAGTACCTTTTCATTGTATAGCCATCTTATTTAGCAGCCAAAAGGTGGAGGCAGGTTTGTGTGACCCAGTTCCCAGGTTGACTTTTCCTTTTGGCTAAATGAGTTTGGGGTCCCAAAATTTAATTTCCTTTCACAGTGCTCATGCATCAACAAAGCACTGGAGAGGTACCTCAGGGTATTGGGTCAATTGTCCCATCTATATGGCCTCCTTTGGTTTGTCATACCTCTTATGGGCCACAGTTAGGCCCAGGGAAGATTTTTATGCCTCTACTAAGCTGTGGGGTCCTGTCTCCTAAGGCACAAGGCCCAGCCATTTCTTTTGAGGTGCTGTCACCTTCTGGGAGTGCTACTCCAACAGAGGAAATGTATCTGAATGACTTCTGTTACATTCCAGTCTCAGGAGACATCTCTCTCTCTCCACAATCCCAAGAATTTTGTTTCTCCCCATATGACACTTACTGTCATCTCTTCAACAAGCTTAGCTTTTTACTTTTGTCTTCTGAAATCATAATATAAGGCAGCTTCAGCTTTCTGCCTTGAAGTTCAGGCATGAATGGAAGAAAATCTTCATCTATCCAACTACCTATGTCTCTATGTATCTATATGGTTATCCATATAGAAATGAAATTCTACATTTATCTTCTGCCAGAACTCATTTGTGGATAAATTAATAACTTAATTGTCAAAGCAAGACTATTAAAAATTACACACACACACACACACACACACACATCCCCTCAGAGTAGAGAAGTACAAACCATGAAGAGAGAGGAGTTACTAAACAAAATATGCAAAGCCTTCATACTTAAGAGACATCAATGATATCCCATCACCTATATGTCTCTACTTCTCTTTTACAAACCAAACATTTTTATTTTTTTAACTATTTCCAAAAGGGACATTGTGTTACATTGCCTCACCTTTCCCTTCACACTACTCTGCAAATTTCCAAATGGTGTTTTCTAATGTAAGTGTGGTACCCCAAAATGAATAAGATAATCCATTTTCCAACATATTTTGCACCAAAGGTTTGCAATTAGGATTTATAATATGTACGTATGTATATGTGAATATGTGTGTGTGTGTATATACACACACATGTATAGAGAGAGAGGGAGAGACAGAGAGAGAGACAAAGAGAAAGAGAAAGAGAAAATTTGACTTTGTAATAGAAACCAAAACTACCTTTTTTTCCCAAAACAATAGATATAAATATAAAGCATATACTCAAACCTTATGCTCCAGGAATCTGGATAGTCCCTATGAGTTTGGATTTTATTTTATTGGCAATAAGGTTGTATTACAGGGTCTGAAATTAAAGGGTCTGAAAGGCTGGTAGAAGAGTGAAATGATTAGGAGATTTATGTTTGGGAGTCATGTAAAAGATGAGACTAGAATATCAACCTAAAGGAAAAAATGGAGAGAAAATTAATATAGAGAGTTTATTTGGGTCAGATTTGAGGACTGCAACCCAAGAGACAGATTCAAGTTGCCCTGAATATATGCTCCAATTAGCAGCAGTTACACGTGGGTTTTTAAAGGAAAGAAGAGGCAGTTCCTAAGCTGTTTACCAATCACTTACATTAAAATAACATAAAGTGTTGATTAGCTATACCTGGTTCTTGTGCCACAAATTCCAAGAACATGAAGATAATGGGTGAGGCAGCACTATTCAAACTCCCCTGAGTTATTTTTCTTTTCTCAGGGGGAAGAAAGGTCAGAAGGAGAATGGTAGATAAGCAGTTATTGTATTAATCTAGGACAGAGATAATGGCATCCTGATCTGGGAGAATGAAAAAGGGATGAAAAGCAGACTTGATTAACAGTGCTCCTTTGAAGATGAGGATCAATAATACATAATGACCAATAGTAGCTCCCCAGTGATGTGATGCTACATGAGCCTGTGAACAACCTGAAGTCAGGGGAGGCCTAACAATGACCGTGAAAGGAAGATTTAGACAGAGCCTTGGTCTCATGACTGTGAAGCTGCCCAATACACCCTACATTGTTTTTGAACTTTTATGTTCTTTTATTTTTTATTTTCGTACATCAGAGAGAAATATGCTTCTATACTGTTTGAGCCCTTATTTTTATTTCTGTTATATGTCGCTAAACCTAATTCAAATACAGTATTTTCTCTTATAATCTTATTTGTACTGAAGTAAAATTTGCATATAGTGAAATGTACAAGTGTTCATACAACTCAATAAGGGTTCTGGTTATCTATAACTTAGTGGCTTAAAACAATTTTTTTTTTTATCAACTCGCACAGTTTTGGAGTTGACTGTCTTCTCTGGATAATTATCATTTGGGGTATCTCCTTAAACCACAGGATGTGGTTTGATGTCAACTGAGTCTCTAGTCATCTGAAGACTTGATTGGGTTGGACAACCAAAATGGCTCTCTCACATGCCTGGCAGTTTCTGCTTGCTGTTACTTGCGCACTTGGTTAGAACTATAAACCTGATCCTCTATACATGGCTCTCCATGTGACATTGCCTTCTCATAGCATGGTGGCTGGATTCTGCATGTCCCAAGAGACCCAGGAGCAAACTGTAAGGCTGTTTTAGTAGTTTGGCCTCTGAAGTCCTAGAGTGTCACTTCTGCCACATTCTGTTAGTCAACTAAGTCACTGAATTAAGCCCAGATTCACAAGTATTGGGATTAGACTCTATCTCTTGTTTGGGGGAGTGGCAAGGTCACATTGCACAACATACAGTATGGGAGATACTGCTGTGGTCATCTTTAAAAATTTAATCTGTTTCATTGAGTTTTGATACATACATATACCCATGTTACCATCCCTAATATATAATATTTCCATCATGCCACCTTCCATTCAATCCTTACACCTCCCATAGACCATCACCATGCAGTAGTTTTGTCTGTGCTTGAATTTCTCATATATGAAATCACATAGTATGTACACTTTTGTGTTTGGCTTTTTTCACTCAATGTAGTATTTTTGAGATTTATGCATGTCGTTGCTTGTAGCATTAATTTGTTCTTTGTTGTTACTGAGAATAATCCTATTATATAAACATACCACAAATTGTTTATCCATTTTCCCACTGACAGATGGTTGAGTTGTTTCTGGTTTGGGACTATTGCGAATAACAGTACTATAGGCATTCTTGTACAAGTCTTTTTATGACAGTGTTTTCATTGCTTTGGGAATGGAATTTCTAGGTCAGGGTGTAGGTGTACAGTTAACTTACAAAGGCACAGACAAATAGATTTCCTACATTGTTATAGCTTATTTTCACTGCCATCAGCAACATATTAGAGTTTCATTGTTCTATATTCCTCAGAATTTGGTATTGTCAGTTTTTTTAATGTTAGCAATTCTAGTTAGTGTGAAATAGAAGTTCATTATGCTTTTAATTTGAATTTTTCCAAAGACTAATGATTTTGATCATACTGGCTTTGTTGATCTTTCTCAGATTTTGTTCTGTATATCACCAATATCTGCTCTTAAAACTTCTCTTCACTTCCACTTTTTTGGGGTCTACTTTGCTGTTATTTTTCCCATTTGTAATGTTGGCTAATTAATTTTTAGCTTTCCTTTGCTGTTAGATGAATGTTTATGTAACATTTCCTCTGAAGTGCCATTTTCTTGCACATCATAAGTTTTTATATGTAGTATTTTACTATCATTTAATTCTAAATATTTTTCAAATTTCATTGTTATTTCTTTTTTTGAGCCGTAGGTGACCTAGAATTAGTGTTTTTTATTTCCCAATATATGTAGAGTTAATTTATCCTTTTGTTATAATTTTCTAACTCAATTGTGTTTTGATGTCAGGGAATATAATCTACTCATGTAGATTACCTACATTTTGCAATTCGTTAAGACATACTTTCTAAGCTAGCATGTGATCAAGTTTTAGAAATTGTTGGCCTCCTGGTGCTTACAAGCAGCTGTGTGCTTGCATTGACTGTACAGAAAAAAAGAGATAGAGTAAACACACCCCGTATACAACTCAGCCCAGGTCCTGTGCCTTGTCTATATTGTGAATAGGGGGGACATAGAAAAAACAAGAGAGAGATAAATTGTTCTTGTGTGTTTGGGAAAAATGTATATTCTCTAATAAATAAATATAGAATTCTCTATATGTCCATTTGGTCAAGCATAGTAATTATATTGCTTCTATAGCTTTGCTAAATTTTTGTTGTTTGTTGTTGCATACTTATCAGTAGTTAAAAAGAATAACTCGAACTCCTGTTTACTAATTTATTCTCACAGAGCTGCACTTACAAACCTCTTTCTCTAACATGTTTAAAATAGCTTTTCATTTCTCCAGGGGCTTAGCTCAAGTGTTTTATTTTTTCTTTTAATCTATAATATCTTGGATTTCACGTTTCCTTCTTTAGTCCTTCAAAGTTGCTTTTAGAGACAGGAGCCAAAAGCCATCTTTACTGGCACTAAAACTCATGTCACTAACTTTTCTGTATTAATTGTTTATCCAGAAATCTCTTCTTAATTGGATATAATCTATTTTTTGTTTGTACAGATTCTTCAGAGATTTTAATGTAAATATTTAAAAAATAAATATGGTCCCTCTTCTTTTCATGTATTTATATTCTTTATTCTTTTTCTTTTTAAGGTTATTCTTGACTGCAACTGCCTATTACATTTTGAGTAGTAGTAATGATATAGACACCCTTTTATGGTTTCTGGCTTTTAAGATAAAGCTTCCAATGATTTATCATTAATTATCATGTTTGTTTTAGTTTTTCCTAGATACATTTAATTAAAATAAGGAGAACTGTTCTTAGCTTGGAAAGTTTTTTTATTTGTTTTTAGAATCATGAATGGAAACTGAATTTAATGGAATTATTCTTTGGCATATATCAAAATATTTCCTACTATTTTGCTTTAAGTACATCAATACACCAATGTTATGGTCTGTAAAAATAGATTTTACAGTATTAAATCATCCTTGCTCTTCTGAGACTAAACCCATCTCCGTTATAATGAATTCTTTTTTATTGATATCCCTAGGTATGGTTTTCTTATGTTTTGTTTAGAAATGTTTGCAGCTAGGTTAATAGGTAATATTTCCCAATAAGTACCCTTTCCCATACTGCCACAGATTCTATAACCTTGAGTGGCTCAAAATTTTATATATTTTTGTATAGAATATAATAAGATTGTTGAAACTCTAAAAAGGCATAATAATAATAAAACTACTAAAAGCCTTAGGAAGATATTCTGGAAAGAAAGAATGAGCATAATAAAAATAGATAATGATAAAAATAATTAAAATGATTTTATTAACAATTTTAAAAGCAGTTTTTGTTTAAGCGTGCTGGTTATTCTTTTGATTATTATAATATTAGATATTGTATTTTTTTGGTTGTTTAAACATCTAAGAGAATCACATGTACTCTCTCTCTATATATATATTACAAGGCCACAACATATATATGTGTGTGTGTGTATCTCTTTGTAATTTATAATTTAATGCTTAAAAATTGTTACATCTATGTAATTGTGAATCAGTACTTTCAGTATTTTATTATAAAAGGCCAGCTATGCACAAAGGTTAATAAATCCCCATTTATTTTTAACCTGTATTTTATAGTTATCAATTAAACCCACACATTTTGATGTACTAATTTTGGAATATTTTCATGTTTAAAGTATTTATTGCTTAGTCCATTTATATAATTAATTAAAAGGGTATTACACAAAAAAACACATAATAAGTAATAAGTGTTCCTTTCCACTTGGATAGTAAGGTCCCATTAACAAGCAAGACCAATATAATCCCTATTTGTAGATGAGATAACTGAGGCACCTGCAGTTAAAGTAATCTGCACAATGAAACAGACATAGTCTGTTCTGGAGCAAGGATTAAAGTAAGCTGCTGATTCCTGCATTGCACACTTACCCACCATACCACACAGAAGTCTGAGAGGGAGAAAAGCCAAATGTCCTAGGAGTGTAATGATGAATGAGAAAGAAGACACTTAATTCCAGAAGGGGTGGTTGGCAGGGTCAGATACCATGGAGGGATCAGGTAAGATCAGTACTGAAAAGCTCATAGTGGATTTGTCTACTGGGATATTCTTGTCAGCCTTGGAGAGATCATCTCAAAGCTGAGGTCATAGCAGAAACTATATTCTAGATACTACATTTTTTGTACTAGAATAAATTTAAGAGTAAATATCATTTAATATAAAAACCATATCTGATATAATTAAAGCCTGAAATCAAGCCATTTTTTTGGCCATTTCAGATAAATATGCAAGGTAAATTTTTGAAATCTATTTAAATTATCAGAATTTACCCCTGGGAAGTGGTAAAGAAAATGTGGCAGCTACTTTAGACCATCTTCCACAGTGGGATGCTTTATAAGCCAAGAACATTAGAGCAAGCAGAGAGCTGGGTCCTAGAAATAGTTGGTGTCTAAAATAATTGTTGTTTTTTTTTTAACCTTTCATTTCATTATTTAGGGAAGGTTTTGCTTATTTTAAAGGGAGAGCAATTCAATCATTCAGATCATTTTTATTCACTTAATGTTTTATTTCCATTTCTATCCACAAATTTAATGAGTACCCTGTGTTTTGGGACTGTAGAAAATAAAAAGGATATTTTAATCTTAAGGATAATTTTAATTTACTTAAAGCTATTATTTCCTTTTACATCATCTTTTGCTGATTCAGGAAAAATTATAGCTACTTCTTGACAGTGATGTAAAAGTGAAATAATCCAATTTAACAAGTTTATTTTAGTTTCTTTACATTTAATTGTGATTTTACTGCAAAGTAAAAAAAATGTGTCTTAATAGCAGAAGAAGTTAAAATTTTTAGCCTCATTTTATTTTTTTATTTCTGTTGTAAAATGGTCTGGGGTTACTAAAGACTATGAAATATCATGAAATATGCTACTGTTGTCTCCTTTTTGTACAATTCACAAGTCAACATGCTCTATGCATATAACTCTCCCGAGAAGGAATGAAATGTTATGAATTATTTCTGCAGTAGGTTTTAATAGATGGTTCAAGACTCTCTTTTTAGCAAATAGCATTTTAGAAGCTGAATGTTTGAACTCCATTACTGATTAGTATTTGTGACCAAGTTCTATTATTCAACTCCACTTAAACTTGTAACTGTAACTTGTTTTTGCTAATCTCTTCTGGCAAATGGTTCTCAACCATTTAAATATTCCACTCTACTTCAAAGTGTCTTTGAGAATTTAGGTCCAACAATGAATAACACAAACCCCCTTTTTTCGGATGAAGATAGATATTTAATCTCTCTCACGCATTCAACTATTAAATGGCTATCATTCACTGACACCCTACAATATGGAGAATATTTTATCTTACTTAATCCTCAGGCAACTCTGCTTAGATATTATCATTTCTGTTTTACAGGTGAGAAACTGAAACTTGAACAGGTAGGGAGTGCTTATTGAATAATTAGGGAAGAGGGATCCAGAAGCCAAGTACCTAGCATTCCTGCCCACCTTCCTGCTGCCCTGCTCCTCCCGGAAGCAATTGCCATAGAAGATACAGATGTGGCTGTTTACATTCCTCCCTGGTCCTCAGTTAATCCTTGCAGGCATCACTGGGAGTCTCACCCCTCGGCCAAATTTCTAGTCTTTTTATGGCTATCAACACTGCCTGAGAAATTGTCGTATACAAGTGGTTTTCAACCAGTGAGCCCATGAAGAACTACCTCCCCTGGCTTTTATGAACTGCACATTTCCTTCCTCCTCAACCTCTTTGCTGGAGCTCTTAGAGCGTCTAGAGTGGTATTGGCAGAATCCTGGTGTTGGAGTGTCGTCGTGTATAGTTTGAAACAATCCCCATTTCACTCTGCCCTCACCCTTCTCTTTTCCCTCTCTCTTTACCCCTTTTCTTCCTCCTTTCTCTTTGCAGATTCTTCTCTACCCCTACCCATACCCCATTTTCCTCTCTCCTTTAAGGCAAATCAGATTAGATGGGTTAATTTAAAAACTCCTTAGGTGATTTTACTTTCTTTTTCCCTCCTTCCCTAACTCCTGTGACCTTCTGAACCCCCTTCCTCAAATATGAAAAATATGTTAATGTCAGTGCAGTTATTTTAACACAGATTTTCTGATTCTAATTATTTTCTATTTTTTTTCCAAAAAAAGACATATCTAGCATGCTCATCCTATAATAAATGTTTAAATTTTAATGTAGCTTCTTTTTAGAGAAGGTTTTCTGCTTTAGAATATGGTTTTACTCAATAATAGAAAAATGTTTATGTTAGAGTAAGGGATTGTACTTGACCAAAGCTAAAGAACAAAATAAAAGAAGACCAAGAAAAAGATTATTCTACTTCCTACATCTCTGCAAACCTTATACTTTTCATGTTTATGTCAAAGCTCTGATTTTGTTACACAATGACTTTAAGCTACTTAGGTTGCTTTTTTTTTTTTTTTTTTTTTTTTTGAGATAGAGTCTCACTCTGTTGCCTAGGCTGGAGTGCAGTGGCACAGCATTGGCTCACCGCAGCCTCCACCTCCCGGGTTCAAGTGATTCTCATGCCTCAGCCTCCCGAGTAGCTGGATTACAGGCATGTGCCACCACACCCAGCTAATTTTTTATTTTTAGTAGAGAAGGGGTTTCACCATGTTGGTCAGGCTGGTCTTGAACTCCCTACCTCAGATGATCCTCCTGCCTCAGCCTCCCAAAGTGCTGGGATTACAGACGTGAGCCACTGCACCAGGCCTTGGGTTGCATATTAAACTCACCTGGGGAGCTTGAAACAAAACAGGACAAACACACATTCCTGGACAACTCCAGAGACTAAATGTAATAGGTCTGGAGTTAGGATGTAAGGAATCAGCAGACATATGATTACTTTTTAAAGATGCTTTTCCAACTCTCTGTAGAGTACCAATTTTAAAACTTCTAAATTGTCATGGAAAAATTAAAATGAAAGATAATTACCATGAAATGAAAAATAAAAAGACAGCCAAAAATCAAATGTAAATACTTAGAACCAACAGACATAAAATTGCTTTTGAGTAAATATAATCTACACAAATATAACACAGTGGAAAGGAAAACAATTGCAAAATTATATATATTAATGAGTGAAAATACATGTAACTAATTAATATGGAGATAAATATTATGCTCATAACTTTTTGTCATTCCTCAATCATAACAAAACAAAGATATTAGTGAAAGAGTAATTTCATATGTTAAAAATCTATATGCAGATAAAAATCTAGATGACCTGGAATATGGTGATGACTTTTTAGATATGACACCAAATACATGTTCTATGAAAAAAAATTGATAAGGTCGACTTCATTAAATTTCAACTTCTGTCCTGTTAAAGACAATCCCAATAAAATGAGAAGGCAGGCACAGACTGTGAGGAATCATTTGCAAAAGACTCATTCGATAAAAGATGTTATTCAGAATATACACGGAGCTCTTAGAAACTCGAAAAGAAAAAAACAAGCAACATGATTAAAAATGGACCAAAAACCTTAACAGCACCTCAACAAAGATGAAATATAGATGGCAAATAAACATGTGAAAAGATACTCTATATCATAAGTCATCAGAGAAATGCAAATTAAAGCAATAATGAGATACTACACACACTATTAGAATGGCCAAAAGTCAGAACACTGACAACACCACGTCCGGGCAAGGACATGGAACAACAGGTGCTCTCATTTGATGCTGGTGGGAATAAAACATGGTATGGCCACTTTGGAAGACAATTTGGTGGTTTCTTACAAAGCTTACTTTGTAAGAAATACTCTTACCATAAGGTACAGCAATCATGCTGCTTGTTACTTACCAAGAGGAGTTGAAAACTTAAGTCCATAGAAAAACCTGCACATGAATGTTTTAGCAGCTTTATAATTCTTAAAACTTGAAAGCAACTAAGATGTCCTTCAGTAGATAAATGGAAAACAGTGGTACATCAGTATGGTAGAATATTATTTAACACTAAAAATGAATATGCTATTAAGTCATAAAAAGACATGGAGGAACCTTAAATGCATATCACTAAATGAAATAAGCCAATCTGAAAAGGCTACATAGTGTTTAATTCAAACTATAAGACATTCTGGAAAAGGCAAAACTACAGACAGTAAAAAAACTAGTTGCCAGGCATGGTGGGGGGTCGGGGTGCTGGGGCTGATGAATAGACAGAGCATAGAGGATTTTTAAGGTATCAAAAACACTCTGTATGATACTATAATGCATACATGACATTATACATTTGTCCAAACCCATAGAATGTGCAACACCGAGTGAACCCTAATGTAAACTATGGACTTTGGGTAATTATGATGTGTTGATGTAGATTTACCAATTATAACACATGTACCATTCTGGTCCAGATGTTGATAATAGGACAGGCTGAGCAAGTATGGGAGTTGGAGGTATATGGGAAATTTCTGTGCTTTCCTCTCCAATTTTGCTCTAAAACTGCTCTAAAAAAGTAAAGTCAGGCTAGGCATGGTGGCTCACACCTGTAATCCCAATGTTTTGGGAGGCTGAGGCAGGGGAATCACCTGAGGTCAGGAGTTCGAGACCATCCTAGGCAACATGGTGAAACCCCGTCTCTACTAAAAATACAAAAATTAGCCAGGCTTGGTGGTGGGTGCCTGTAATCCCAGCTACTCAGGTAGCTCAGGCAGGAGAATTGCTTGAACCTGGGAGGTGGAGGTTACAGTGGGCAGAGACTGCACCATTGCACTCTAGCCTGGGCGACAGAGTGAGACTCTGTCTCTAAACAAATAAATAAGTAAAGTCTTTAAACAAACAAGAAAACAACCCATGTGCACATAGGGAACACACATTACGTATATCAATATCAAAATTTTTAATGTGACCAGTAATCTTTCTGATGCTTCTTAATTTTATCCAATTTGGATTGAATTTCAATAGTATTCTTTGCATGAACTAACGTATCTCTCCACTGTTTCTGTATTTTGTTTGAATAATATTCATAGTAGAAAAATGAGTCTCACCTAAGTATGATGATGGGAATCAAAGAAGAAATTTTTTTCAAATATCATCAATTTAAGAATGTTAAATTTTTTGCCTAACATAAAATTTTGCTGTATTTTCAAAATTTAATGTCAAACGTTTTACCAGCAGCCAGTTCCTATAAGTTCTCCTATTACTCTACACCCAAACAAATTATATTTTAAAGAAAGAAATGGATTCTGGATTCATGAACTCCTTATGTGTGAATCTTCTTTAGAAAATAAAATCTAAACATTCCATCAAATAATACGATGCTTAGTGATAACTTTTTACAGACTGCAATATAAAGATTATCACCCACTTCAATGATAATTGCTAAATTATGAGATATCTTGTTTTAGTTTTCTATTGCTACCGAAACAAATTACAACAACTTAGAGGTTTAAAATAACTTTCATTTACTATCTCACAGTTCTTTTGGTCACAAATCCAGGCAGATTCAGCTGGGTTCTCTGCTTGGTGTCTCACAAATTGAAACTAAGATAGCAGATGGAAAAAAAATATTTGCACACCACACATCCAAAAAAAGGTTAATATCCATTATATTTAAGGGACTCAAACAACTCAATAGAAAAAAAAAATTAGACAATTAAAAAAAATGAACATAGAACCTGTATAGACATTTCTCAAAAGAAGATACACAAATGGCCAATAGATATATGAAAAGATGCTCTGCATCACTAATCGTCAGAGAAATGCAAATTGAGACCACAATGAGATATCACCTTATAACTGTTAGAATGGCTATTACACAAGCAATGAGGCAGGGCGCGGTGGCTCACGCCTGTAATCCCAGCATTTTGGGAGGCTATGGCAGGCAGATCACCTGAGTTCAGGAGTTCAAGACCAGCCTGACCAACATGGTGAATCCTCGTCTCTACTAAAAAATACAAAATATTGGCCCGGCATGGTGGCAGGTGCCTGTAATCCCAGCTACTAGGGAAGCTGAGGCAGGAGAATCGCTCGAACCGGGGAGGTGGAGGTTGCGATGAGCCGAAATTGCTCCACTGCACTCCAGCCTGGGCAACAGAGTGAAACTCCGTATATTAAATAAATAAATAAATAAATAAATAAATAAATAAATAAATAAAAGATGAAGGGTCCGGCATGGTGGCTTACTCCCATAATCCTAGCACTTTCAGAGGCTGCAGGGAGTGGATCTCTTGAGCTCAGGAGTTTGAGATCAGCCTGGGCAACATGGTGAAAACTCATCTCTACTAAATAAATACATACATACATACATACAAACATTAGATGGGTGTGGTGGCTCACACCTGTAGTCCCAGTTATTTGAGCGGCCAAAGCGGGAGGATCGCTTAAGCCCAGGAGGCGGAAGTTGCAGATTGCAGTGAGCCCCAAGATCGCGGCCAGTGCACTCCAGCCTGGGTGACAGAGTGAGACCCTGTCTAAAAAAAAAAAAAGAAAAGGGAACCCTGTACACTACTGGTGTCAATGTAAATTAGTATAGCCATTGTAGAAGTTCCTTAAAAAAAAAATTGAAAATAGAACTACCTTAGGAACCAACCATCCCACTACTGGGTATGTATTCAATGGTAATGAAATCAGCATGTCAAAGAGACATCTGCACTCCCATGTTCATTGCAGCATTATTCACAATAGCCAAGATATAAAATTAATCTAAGTGTCCATTGATGGAGGAATGCATAACAAAAATGTAGTATATATACCTAATGATATGTAATTTAGCTTTTAAAAATAAGGAAATTCTGTCATTTGAGATGACATGGATGAACTTGGAGGACACTGTGCTAAGTGAAATAAGCCCAACATGGAAAGAAAAATATGCCATGTTTTCACTTATACGTAGAATCTAAAACTATCAAACTCATAGAAGCAGAGAGTAGGATGATGGTTGCCAACAGCTAGGAGTGGGAGGTAGAAATGGGGGATGTTGGTCAAAGGGTAACAAGTTTCAGTTAAAATCAATAAATTCTGGAGATCTGTTGTACAGCATGGTGACTATAGTTAATACATACTTGAAAGTGGCTCAGCGGGTTGACCTTAAATTTTCTCACTACACACAAAAAAAGATAACTGAAGTAATGGAGATATTAATTAGCCTGATTGTAGTAATCATTTCACAATGTATGCATATATGAAAACATCACATTATACAACATAAATATATACAATTCTTATTTGTCACTTACATTTGCTCAGTAATGCTGGGGGTGGAGAAAAGGTGCCAGCTGAGCTAGTCTGTTACCTGGAGGCTCTGGTAAAGAATGTACTTCTAAGATCATCCAGATGGTTGGCAGAATACAGCTCCATGCAGTTGTAGAAATGAAGTCTCCGTTTTTCTTTTGTTTTAATTTCGTCTTTGTCGTTATTTGGCTGGAGTCAGTATTTCCCAGCTTCTAGGTTTCTGGTGTAAACTCCTCCATTTGAATAACTACTCCAAGCGATTACCTACCATTGCAGCAGTCCTACACAAAGCTTACTTGTAAGAATTTTTAAGGCCAGGCACGGTGGCTCATGCCTGTAATCCCAGCACTTTGGGAGGCTGAGGCAGGCAGATCACTTGAGGTCAAGAGGTCGAGACCAGCCTGACCAACATAGTGAAACCCCGTCTCTACTAAAAATAAAAAAACTAGCTGGGCATGGTGACGTGCGCCTGTAATCCCAGCTACCCAGGAGGCTGAGGCAGAGAATCGCTTGACCCTGTGAGGTGGAGGTTGCAGTGAGCCGAGATTGCGCCAATACACTCCATCCAGCCTGGGTGACAGAGGAAGACTCTGTCTCAAAATAAATAAATAAATAAATAAATAAATAAATAAATAAATAAATAGAATAATAACAAATGCAAGCTTTTCTAGTTTTATTCCATTCAGAGCTAATTATACTTGTAAATAATGGTGCTAATCCAACAGTTCTACCTTTCTGTCACTAATATGTCCAAATTGCACTTGTGGTAAAGCAATTGCTGAAGTTTGCAGTGTCTGTGCGTTTCTAAAGTTGCAATGAAAAATAGTTTACTAGATTTATTTGTTCTCTAAGTTTGTCTCCATATTGTCAACCAGTGCTGAGTACATTGCACGATGTGGTCGACCAGTGCTGAATACATGGCAAAGATTCATTGGAAATCTCTGATGTGTAGTCTGTGACTCTTTTTTGTCAATTAACTATGTCTTTTTAGTCTTAGCAATATAAAGTGCTATTGGCTACAGCCAACAGATGAAATATTAGTACTTTTCAGGTTCTTGTAATACTTTCAAACATTTTTTAGTTTGAACTTCTTTATGGTTTACATAAATGGCATTTAAAAGGTGATGTTTATTGCTTCATTAGACATACATATTCAGAAATAATATACTTTGGTTTTAGCACCTCACAAAATCAAACTCAATACGTAAAAGACTAATAGAAATTCTTGGTTTCTTATTTCTTTGGAATAACTTCGTCATTATTTGCTTCATTACTTTTTTCACATTCATGCAAATTAAACATTTTTACCTTCATAATTTTATATGATTCACAGTAAATACTTGTCAAATTTACATTTATTACTACATTTATCAAATTAACTCCTTTGCACATTCCTGATTCTTGATTATTGTTTTTTCTTGACCAAGAAAGGTCTAGTAAAGTTTATTTTGTCATCAGTAAATTAGAATAAAATGATGAATTTTTACTTTGCTAGTTTAGCTAATTATGTTAAAAATGGGTTAAAAACCAGACTTGATGTAAATTAGAATAATTGCAAAATAACATGTAAAAATTAAATGCTTACATTTTCTCAGATATTTTGTAGTTTGTGTTGGAGTTGGAAAACGAATTTTTTTTTTCCTCAGACTGCTTTTTTTTTTTTTTTCATGTTACCTCTTTATTTTGATCTTAACAAGTTTCAGTGTAAGGAGATAATCAGGCCTTTATAGAAATCATTCCTTTATCACTAAATCACAAAAAGCAAAAGTAAAATGTATAAACTGGCAAAAAGTATACAATCTGAATTAAAGGGTTAATAATAAAACCCCATTCGTATGGCCATACCGTTTCACTTTGGGAAGAAAGAAGGTTGTTAACTGATAGGCGTATGCTTTTCTTCATTTATTAGGACATCTTCACTGCTTCCATCCACGAAAACTTCAGAATCCAATGATCCAGGTCAGCCCAGTGCAATCAACAGTGAGCCAAATCAAAAAGCAGCCCAACTTCTACCTCATAATCCCCACACAGGCTGGGAGCTGCTGGGTTCTACTAGGTGAATTGAATTGCTCCATGCCAGTGGAAAAATGTTTTTACATCAGTTTTTCCTAGTAGATGTTTAAAAAATTACAAAGAATTTTCCAATCGACCTTACGTGACCCTCTAAAGCATTTATTCTATTTAACTCTACCTTTTTTTTTTAGTTATACTTTAAGTTTTAGGGTACATGTGCACAACATGCAGGTTTGTTACATATGTATACATGTGCCATGTTGGTGTGCTGCACCCATTAACTCGTCATTTAACATTAGGTTTATCTCCTAATACTATCCCTCCCCCCTCCCGCCACCCCACAACAGGCCGTGGTGTGTGATGTTCCCCTTCCTGTGTCCATGTGTTCTCATTGTTCAGTTCCCACCTGTGAGTGAGAACATGCGGTGTTTGGTTTTTTGTCCTTGCAATAGTTTGCTGAGAATGATGGTTTCCAGCTTCACCCATGTCCCTACAAAGGACATGAACTCATCATTTTTTATGGCTGCATAGTATTCCATGGTGTATATGTGCCACATTTTCTTAATCCAGTCTATCATTGTTGGACATTTGGGTTGGTTCCAAGTCTTTGCTATTGTGAATAGTGCCGCAATAAACATGCGTGTGCATGTCTCTTTATAGCAGCATGATTTACAATCCTTTGGGTATATACCCAGTAATGGGATGGCTGGGTCAAATGGTATTTCTAGTTCTAGATACCTGGAAAACGAATCTTAAAATAATGCACAATGCAATGTGGTCTTATTGTACATGCAATAATAATAATAATAATAACAATAAAAATAATAGTACTAAATTCTTTTGCTGATAGCTCCAAGCTTTGGGATCTACTGGGAATTTGATGAATAATATCTTTAGAAAAGAACTAATATTTTTTTCTGAAAGTTGATGACATTTTCAGATTCTCTATGTTTATTTTTGGGGGAGGGAGGATTATTTTGAACCTTTTTGTTTATTTGTTTATTTACTTTATTGGGGATTTAATTCCAACATCTCTATGCTAAATATTTATGGAGGCATTAATTTTCTTTTTCTTTTTGGAAATTTGAAGTTGTTTGGCTATTTTTTCCCATTACTCTTAGTCAAAAGCAGTCCTAAGTAATAAAATATATTAGAGGGCACAAATTGTCTCTCTTGTATATCACAACTCTACTCAAATAATGGTTTACAAACTTGTGTTGGTTAAACACTTTTACCAGTACTGCTAAAATAAGCCAGAAATTTAGAGTAAGCATTTAGAAACTTGTATTTTTGATGTTTTATTCCATCCCACTGGAGAAGTTTCTTTAACAGGGCATTGTGGAACTTGCATGTTGAGAAGAAAGTGCAAATATCTACCACTATTAGCAGCAGATGTGAGGAATCTTTGGACAATAAGTTCAGTGATTAAAAGATAATGTTTAAAATAGTCTCTAACTTCTTGAAACTCAAAAAATATTACTAATTATAGCCAACTCTGTGAAATATCTCAAGAAATAGCCAAAAGCTTCAGGTCAATTTGCCTAACATAATGTACATGAAAACCAGTTTTAGCCTTCAATTTCCCTTCAATTACTTTTTTTCTTTCTGGATGGCCTGTATTTTTTTCTTTTCCATCCATTTGGCATTAAATGCTTTAAGCTAATTTATCTAAGAGTATTTCTAACTCAATTTTATATTTCTAGATATTTCTGATATATGCAATATTTTGTGAATAGTGGGCTTTTTAAAATTATATTTTAAGTTTTGGGATACATGTGCAGATCATGCAAGTTTGTTACATAGGTATGTACATGCCATGGTGGTTTGCTGCACCCATCAACCCATCATCTACATTAAGTATTTCTCTTAATGCTATCGCTCCTCTGGCCCCCCACCCACTGACTGACCCTGGTGTGTGATGTTCCCCTCCCTGTATCCATGTGTTCTCAGTGTTCAACTCCCACTTATGAGTGAGAATACGCAATGTTTGGTTCTGTTCCTGTGTTAGTTTGCTGAGAATGATGGTTTCCAGCTTCATCCATGTCCCTGCAAAGGACATGAACTCATCCTTTTTATGTCTGCATAGTATTCCATGGTGTATATGTGTCACATTTTCTTTATCCAATCTATCATTGATGGGCATTTGGGTTGGTTCCAAGTCTGTGCTATTGTGAATAGTGCTGCAGTAAACATACGTGTGCATGTGTCTTTATAGTAGAATGATTTATAATCCTTTGGTTATATACCCAGTAATGGGATTGCTGGGTCAAATGGTATTTCTGATTCTAGATCCTTGAGGAATCGCCACACTGTCTTCCACAATGGTTGACCTAATTTACACTCCCACCAACGGGTAAAAGCATTTCTATTTCTACACATCCTCTCCAGCATCTGTTGTTTCCAGACTTTTTAATGATCACCATTCTAACTGGTGTGAGATTGTATCTCATTGTGGCTTTGGTTTGCATTTCTCTAATGACCAGTGATGATGAGCTTTTTATCATATGTTTGTTGGCCTCATATATGTCTTCTTTTGAGAAGTGTCTGTTCATAGCTTTTGGTGTTTTAGTCATGAAGTCTTTCATCGGTTTGCTTTTATAGCCTCATGAGTTTCTTTTGGTCTTCTTTTGAAGATGTTTTCTTTTCCTAGTTTAGCTAAACATCTTACCTTCATATTTTTTTTATAATTCACAATAAGCACTTGTCAAATTTGCAACATTTATTACTAGATTTACCAAATTATCTCCTTTGCACATTCCTACTTATTGAGTATTGTTCTTTTAGGCTACATGTGCTTAGCTGTACCTTATGATGCATTTTTATTGGTAATATGAGTTTGTTATTTTCCTGAGTGCATTTTAAGGTAGAAATGCCCAGTGATGTTGTTAGCTGTTAAAGAAAAATAAATGCCTGAAAATATTAATTCTGCTTGGGAATAGCATTTGTTTTACATTAAAGTTAGACCCAGTCTGGATGGCACTCCTCTATATAGCTCAGCACAGCTGCTGACTGAAAAAAAAATCCCATTTGCTTTACATTCTGATGCATGTGGATTATTAGAAGCATTGAATCTATAAATTACGTTGGACAATATGGCCATTTTCACGATATTGATTCTTCCTATCCATGAGCATGGAATGTTCTTCCATTTGTTTGTGTCCTCTTTTATTTTGTTGAGCAGTGGTTTGTAGTTCTCATTGAAGAGGTCCTTCACATCCCTTGTAAGTTGGATTTCTAGGTATTTTATTCTCCTTCAAGCAATTGTGAATGGGAGTTCACTCATGATTTGGCTCTCTGTTTGTCTGTTATTGGTGTATAAGAATGCTTGTGATTTTTGCACATTGATTTTGTATCCTGAGACTTTGCTGAAGTTACTTATCAGCTTAAGGAGATTTTGGGCTGAGACAATGGGGTTTTCTAAATATACAATCATGTCATCTGCAAACAGGGACAATTTGACTTCCTCTTTTCCTAATTGAATACCCTTTATTTCTTTCTCCTGTCTAATTGCCCTGGCCAGAACTTCCAACACTATATTGAATAAGAGTGGTGAGAGAGGGCATCCCTGTCTTGTGCCAGTTTTCAAAGGGAATGCTTCCAGTTTTTGCCCATTCAGTATGATTTTGGCTGTGGGTTTGTCATAGATAGCTCTTATTATTTTGAGATATGTCCCATCAATACCTAATTTATTGAGAGTTTTTAGCATGAAGGGTTGTTGAATTTTGTCAAAGGCCTTTTCTGCATCTATTGAGATAATCATGTGGTTTTTGTCTTTGGTTCTGTTTATATGCTGGATTATGTTTATTGATTTGCGTATATTGAACCAGCCTTGCATCCCAGTGATGAAGCCCACTTGATCATGGTGGATAAGCTTTTTGATGTGCTGCTGGATTCAGTTTGCCAGTACTTTATTGAGGATTTCTGCATTGATGTTCATCAGGGATCTTGGTCTCAAATTGTCTTTTTTGGTTGTGTCTCTGCCAGGCTTTGGTATCAGGATGATGCTGGCCTCATAAAATGAGTTAGGGAGGATTCCCTCTTTTTCTATTGATTTGAATAGTTTCAGAAGGAATGGTACTAGTTCCGCCTTGTACCTCTGGTAGAATTTGGCTGTGAATCCATCTGGTCCTTGACTTTTTTTTGGTTGGTGAGCTATTAATTATTGCCTCAATTTCAGAGCCTGTTATTGGTCTATTCAGGGATTCAGCTTCTTCCTGGTTTAGTCTTGGGAGGGTGTATGTGTCCAGGAATTTATCTATTTCTTCTAGATTTTCTAGTTTATTTGCATAGAGGTGTTTATAGTATTCTCTGATGGTAGTTTGTATTTCTGTGGGATTGGTGGTGATATCCCCTTTATCATTTTTTATTGCATCTATTTGATTCTTCTCTCTTTTCTTCTTTATTAGTCTTGCTAGTGGCATATCAATTTTGTTGATCTTTTCTAAAAACCAGCTCCTGGATTCATTGATTTTTTTGAAGTGTTTTTTGTGTCTCTATCTCCTTCAGTTCTGCTCTGCTCTTAGTTATTTCTTGCCTTCTGCTAGCTTTTGAATGTGTTTGCTCTTGCTTCTCTAGTTCTTTTAATTGTGATGTTAGGGTTTCAATTGTAGATCTTTCCTGCTTTCTCTTGTGGGCATTTAGTGCTATAAATTTCCCTCTGCACACTGCTTTAAATGTGTCCCAGAGATTCTGGTATGTTGTGTCTTTGTTCTCATTGGTTTTAAAGAACATCTTTATTTCTGCCTTCATTTCGTTATGTACCCAGTAATCATTAAGGAGCAGGTTGTTCAGTTTCCAGGCAGTTGAGCGGTTCTGAGTGAGTTTCTTAATCCTGAGTTCTAGTTTGATTACACTGTGGTCTGCGAGACAGTTTGTTATAATTTCTGTTCTTTTACACTTGCTGAGAAGTGCTTTACTTCCAACTATGTGGTCAATTTTGGAATAAGTGCGATGTGGTGCTGAGAAGAATGTATATTCTGTTGATTTGGGGTGGAGAGTTCTGTAGATGTCTATTAGGTCTGCTTGGTGCAGAGCTGAGTTCAATTCCTGGAGAGCTTGCTATACATCAATAGCAATAGACAATGACATTTTGTGTCTGTGATCCATATTTTGCTGGATATTTTCCCATTGCCACTCAGATCTGCTTTCCATTCTTCTTCACTTTGCCCCTGTACTTTCTGGCTTCTAGTTTGGTTTGGCAAATGAGTAGCACAGGCGGATGACTGGAATGGAGCACGCAAGGAGAGTGAGATTGGAGTTTCTATCCTCCAGGCTCCCTCTTAGAGGGCAACCTCAGATTAGCTGCATTTCTCACTTAAAGGCCAAAGCTTTTTATTAAGCACAACTCTTTAATAGCTGTTCTGTCTTGGTCTATCTTCCTCTTTAGCCCTAAGAGTGATAACAGTTTATTTTGTTCTTTCTAGTCTCTGAGAATACAACCATCTTGTTTTGTAGTTCTGCCCATGTATTTGGGAAGAATTCTTTCATTCAGGTACCATATTTGAGTGTGCCCTGCATTTCCTGCCAAAACTTTGACTAATCTAATGATCAATTTTTAAATTTAGCTATTTAAAAAAATGAAAGACAAATAATGCAGTGTAGATATGACTACCCATTTCATTACTTCATTTTGCTGACTAAATCTCCACTAAACACAAATAGGATGTCTTAGTTTTGGTCATACACTCATAGAATATACTCAGATATGAATCAAAAGGAAAAACATTCTGGGCGTAAAAACAAGCAGAGAAAGCACTATCTAAATGACGAAAAGACAGGAGACATGAAAAGGAATTTACAAGAAACTTTAAAGAACAGACAACAGTGATATGATCACAAGTGATTACATAAAGTTTCCTATATACTAGGCTCATTCTAAGCAATTTACATATATTGAACTATTTATTTCTCACAGGAACTCTATGAGGAAATACCATTCTCATTTTACAGGTGAGGAAGCTGAGGCACAGAGCACTTAGTCTGGTTGTATGGCCTATCCTCTTAGCTACCATGCCATGCTGCTGTTTCAATGGTTTTGCTGATAAAACTGCTAAAGCATAATAAAGACTGGATATATATACTTATAATAGTAACTTTTTGTACTTATTTCCATATCCTTATGGTTTACTTATTTATTTAAATTCTTCCTTAATATAGAATTATTCTTAAGCCTAACTTTAGTTCTTGCTATTCTTTTCCAAAAATAATGAATTTGCATAACATGTTGTTTGATACTATGAGTGCATTTGTATGCTAACATACATTTAATATTCCTTTTAGAATTTATGATTTATGAATATGCCTGTTAACAAATCACCTATGATTAATACATGTGGAGGCATATCTTCCCCTTATCATGAAGAGCTCTGGAAATTAAATTTTCAACATTTAAGTGGAGAAAGGGGTCATAAATCAAGGTAAGCTAGAAAATAATTATAGGACCCATATGTATTGTAGAGAATTTAGAAAATATAGAAAACTGAAAAAAAAAATTCACCCATAGTTCTCTAACCAAAGATTAAAATTTTAAAGTTTACTATTTGTTTAATAGCCTTGTTTATTGTAATTATGTGCTTTCTAAAATTTTGAATTCTACACGTTTTGTTTGAAATAATTATCTATACTCATATGTTTTCTTAATTTGTCATAATAATGCATAGATTGCATGAGAAAATATTTGATAACTCCTGTATCATGAAGCATTTTATTTAGTTCTAAGACCTTTGCTATTTCAAATTTAGCCAAAATAGAATGTTTTTCTATTTTGAAATATTTCAGATTATTTCCTTGGGATAAAGTTTCTACAATGAGTGCAAGAGCAATTGAAAAGAACTTTCACAAAGACTTTACAGTCACAAATAATATACTTTTTCTAGTTGTTTTCTGTGCTATCCTTGTCCCAATACCATAGTGATCCATATTGTAAAAAAAAGTAGCAGGAGAAGTTGTTATCCACCTAGAATCCTACAGAGAAGAAAATAAAATTCAAAATATATCATTAAAAAACTGAATGGTTTTGCTATTATTCATATAAACATAATATGCTGAAGAAATAAGTAAACCTAGTCAGTGCATCTAAATGGTCAAGGATGCTACAAATAAAAAGCAACAGGACCTAAATATACAAACCATGACTAGATAATCCTGTTACTAATAGGATGTAGGTAAACAGAGGAAAAATAATTTGTATAAAAATGTTCAGAGTAGTTTTAATTGCATTTAAAAATTGAAAATAGCAAATGCTTTATAATAGAATGACCAAGTCAATTAAATGTATCTGAATAGTAGAATACAATAGAAATGTTTAAAAGAAAAAAATTGAAACAAATTATGTATACAGTGATTAAATTGATGATATCAAATGTGTATTGTGGATATGACAATTCATCAAGAATGGAGTATAATCTTTTTCAGCCTACCAGATAGTAATAGATACTGTGCTAAAAAGGAGCAGGTCAGATTCTGCATTTAAACAAATTTCAAAAGCCCTGGATTTAACAAAGTGCAATTGTTTTCTTTGCTCCAAAAGTTCTCAGCTTTTTTATTTGTTAATTAATTTATTTTTAGAGACAGGGTCATCCAGGCTGGAGTGCAGTGGCGTGATTATAGCTTATTATAACCTTGCTATAACCTATAGCTTACTATAATCCTGGGCTCAAATGATCCTCCTGTCTCAGCCTCCTGAGCAGCTGGCACCACGGGCACATGCCAGTATGCCTGGCTAATTTTTAGTTTTTTTTTTTTTTTTTTTTTGTGGAGATGGGGTCATGCTTTGTTGCCCAGGCTGGTCTTGAACTCCTGGCCTCAAGTGATCGGCACTCCTTTTCGTCCCAAAAAGTTGGAATTACAGGCATGAGCCACTGTGCCTGGCTCAGTTTTAAAATATGCTCATGTATAGTATAAGTCTGCATTAGTGGGGACTGATACAGGTTGGCTATATGTCCCCATTCAAATATCATCTTGAATTATAATCCCCATGTGTCAAATGAGGGACCTGGTGGGAGGTGATTGGATAACCGGGATGGATTTCCCCTTGCTGTTCTCATGATAGTGAGTGAGTCCTTATGCAGTCTGGTTGTTTGATAGGTGTCTGGTGCTTCCCCCTTCTCACTCTCTCCTGCCACCATGTTAAGAGGTGCCTTGCTTCCCCTTCCCCTTCTGCCATGATTGTAAATTTCCTGTGGCCTCCCCAGCCATGCGGAACTGTGAGTCAATTAAACTTCTTTTGTATGTAAATTACCCAGTCTCAAGTCGTATCTTTATAGCAGTGTGAGAACGGACTAATACAGAGACAGAGTTGGCCTTGCCACCACTACCTATACAGCCCGCTTCATCAGAATGAACTCATGGAACACGTTTTAAAATATTAATTTCTGTTCAATGTCCATAATTTTTATTAGGAAAAATAACTTGCTAGATCAAAATGTGTTGTTACTAGATCAAAATTTCTTGATAATTTAAAAATTGTGTGTGATTTTTAAATTTTAAGAAATTGCTGAAAACTTAGAAAAATATAATGGTATACATACAATAGAATTTAAGATGTTGGCTTATTGTTATGGGCTGAATGTGAGTGTCCCTGCAAAATTCATATGTTGAAGTCCCAACCTCAATGTGTATTATGGCCACTACAATTCACAAAGAGTAGAGTATAATCTCATAGCAAACCAGATAGTAACATATATTATGCTAAAAAGGAGGGGGTTAGGTTCTTCGTTTAAACAAATTTGAAAAGCCCTGGAGTTAACAAAGTGAAATTGTAACCCAATGTGATGGTATTAGGAAGTGTGGCCTTTGGGAGGTAATTGGGCATAGATGAGGTCACGTTGGTGGAGCTCTCATTATGAGATTAGTGTCCTTACAAGAAGTGGAAGAGCTACCAGCACTTAGTCTCTCCTCTGTGTGAGGATGCAGCAAGAAGGCAGCTGTCTGCAAGCCAAGAGCACAGCCCTCACCAAAACCAGCCCATGCTGGCACCCTATCTTGGATTTCCCAGCTTCTGGAACTAGGAGAAATAAAATGTTTAAGTCACCCAGTTTACACTGTTTTGTTATAGAAGCCTCAGTAGCCTGTGACACATATTGTTACGTTTGTTTCCAATACTTTTCTTGAATAAAGAATACTTCAAGAGATACAGTTTCAGCTGTTTAACCATATGTGCTTTCAACTATAGTAATTGTGGCAGATATCATTCCAGTTCATTTTTCTACTTTAATATACGTGAATATGAAATTGTATTTTTCACATTTGTTAATGTAATTCTACCTAATACATTTATCTGTGGCTTGCTTTTTAAAAAATCAATGCTACATTTTAACTTTAATCCATATTGGTAATTATGTATATTCTTCATTTTAATGGCTGAAAAATTCTAATATAATGAATTTTCCTTATTTATTATTTTCCAAATTTTTGACAATAAAATCAATGCCATAGTGAAAATCATTGCATATTTCTCCTTGTGTATCTGTGCAGGTGTGTCCTTTTTTTATATTTTTATTTTTACAGACAGGGTCTTTCTCTATCTCCCAGGCTGGAGTGCAGTGGCACAATCGTAGCTCACTGCAGCCTCGAATTCCTGGGCTCAAGAGAGCCTCCTGCTTCAGCCTCTGGAGTAGCTAGAATCACAGGCACATGTCACCATACACGGATAAATAAAAAATTTTTTTTGTAGTGATGGAATTTGCTTTGTTGCTGAGGCTGGTTTCAAATTCTCGACCTCAAATGGTCTTCTCACCTGACCCTCCAAAAATTCTGGGGTTATAGATGTGAGCCATTGTGCCCAGCTAAGTATAATTTATGATTTATTATTTTTAAAAATTTGCTTGATGCTTTCTATGGGTCTCCAAAAGTATCTGAATATTGTATATACACACACACACACACACACACACACACATACACACACACACACATTTCCTTCCCCAGTCTATAAGAGTATGAGAGTATCACTTCCTCTTATCTTCACCAACACCTAACAGATCAATTTGGGGAGACTTAACATCTTTATCATAATCATCATAATCATATGATAGTTTAGAAACATGGTATATCGCTCCATTTATTTAGTTATTTATAAAATTTTCTTAATACAGTTTTAGTGTTTTTTTTCATATGGGTATTGTCTTAGATTTATTAATTTTTGCCAGTATAATAGATCAAAAGTGACACTTATAATGAATTTTTTAAGATTCCCTAATAACTATGCTACTAAATATCTTTTTATGTTTGTTGCTGTTAGAATTACTTCCATGTGTTTTCTTATTCTTATTAATATGTTGGTATTATTAAATATTTATTATAAATTCTCCCAAGGTATGCCTTATCCTTTAACTTTGTTTTTGTTGTGCCTTTAATTATATGGAAGTCTTAAAAATTGTTATAGTTACTATGTTTTTAAGATTCATTAATGTTGAGTGTAGCTATATCATTTTTATTGCTTGTTTTTCATTTCACTGTTGCATTTTATTAACTTACTGCAAATTATCCATTAATTCTGTTAATTTTGGACATTTCAATTATTTTCAATTTATGGTTATTATGAACGTTTCATACATTGCTGTATGGGCATCATGGCATACATCTTAATGTACAAACTTATGAGTGGAATTGCTGGGTCAGAGGATATGTATATAAAATTTAGTGACTAGAACTTATTAATTTTTATAAAGTCAGATATATCAATCTTTTATGATTAGCCTTTTTTTTGTATTTTGGTTAAAAAAATCTTTCCCAACCACAAGATCGTGTAGATAGTCTTGTATATTATTTTCTAAAAACCTTATTGTTTTATCTTTCATGTCTATAATCTATGTGGAAATTTTTGTAAATAATATTAAGCACAAGTCTGATTTTCTTTTTAAAATGTGCATACTCAATTCATCAATACGACATATGGAAAAAATCCTTTCTCTACTATTTCTGTAGTACAGTTATTGTATAACTCATGCATTCACATGTAATTGATATGCTTATCTGCTCTATAGTCTGCTTCACTGGCCCATTTGTCTAATTCCACACCAACGCCACACTGCCTTAATTACTATGGTTTGGTAATAGCATGTAATAGTCAAGATGATAGATTTTTCCAAACTTGTTTTTCTCAGTGGTATCTTGCATATTAATTTTGAAACCAGCTTGTCATAATTTATGTTTTTGAAAAATTAAAGGGAGTTTTTAATTGGATTTTGAAGAATCTATAGATCAATTTGGAGAAACAACATCTTTATCATAACCATATTCTAATTTATAAACATGGTATATCTCTTCATTTATTTAGTTATTTATGAAATTTTCTCAATACAGTTTTACTGCTTTTTTCATATAGGTATTGTCCAGCATTCTCATAGCAGTATTGTTCACAGAGGCATTGTTAGATTTATTTCTATGTATTTAGTATTTTTCATGCCATTTATAAATTATATGCATATATAGATTTCTAAAATTTGTATTTTCTAACTTTTACCAGAAAAGAGAAGTTAATTTTTATATATTGATTTTACATACACAAATATTGCTAAATTTTCTTATTAATTCTGAATATCTTTGTCTCAATATTGACTTAAAAGGAATATTCTAAACATTTGACTGACAAGGGACTATTAACCAGAATATATGAAGAACTCAAACACCCTAATAACAAAATCCCAAATTATCTAATTGAAATATGGGCAAAAGATCTAAATAGACATTTCTCAAAAAAAGACATACAAATGGCCAACAGATATATGAAAAAATTCTCAACATCACTAATCATCAGATAAATGTAAATTAAACCCACAATGAGACATTATCTCACCCCAACTAAACTGGCGTTTATTAGAAAGACAGTAATGGATGCTGGTGAGGATGTGGAGAAAGAGGAATGCTCCTACACTGTTGGTGGGAATGTAAATTAGCATAGCCATTATGGAAAACAGTTTGGAGTTTCCTCAGAAAGCCAAAAATAGAATTGTCATATCATCCCATAATCCCACTGCTGGATATGTGCCCAAAAGAAGGGAAATTGGCAGATTAAAGAGCTATCTGGGCTAGGCATGGTGGAGTGCTGGGCACCTGTTATCCCAGCATTTTGGGAGGCCCAGTTGAGTGGATTGCTTGAGCCCAGGAGTTTGAGACCAGCCTGGGTAACATGGCAAAACCCGCCTCTACAAAAATTACAAAAATCACCCAGGCATGGTGGTGTACACCTGTAGTCCCAGCTACCCAGGAAGATGAGGTGGGGGGGGTTACTTGAGACCTAGAGGTAGAGATTGCCGTGAGCAAAGATTGCACCACTGCACTTCAGCCTGGGCCACAGAGCAAGACCCTACCTCAAGAGAAGAAACAATAAAAGAGATATCTGTCCTCTCATGTTACTTGTAGCATTATTCACAATAGCCAAGATATGGAATCAATCTAAGTGTCCATGCATGATAAATGAATAAAGAAAATGTGATATATATACACAATGGAATATTATTAAACCATAAAAGAATCAAATTCTGTCACTTGTAACAACATTGGTGGAACTGGAAGACATTATGTTAAGTAAAATAATTCAGGCACAGAAAGACAAATACCGCTATTGTCACTCACATGTGTGTGCTAAAATAAATTGATCTCATAAAGGTAGAGAGTAGAATGATGGTTACCAGAAGCTGGGAAGGGTGAAGAAGTGGGGAAGAAGAGAGGTTGGTTAATGGGGACAACATACAGTTAAACAGAAGGAATAAGTTCTAGTGTTTAAGAGCATAATAGGGTGACTAAACTTAACAACAATTTATTGTATATTTCAAAATTACTGAAAGAGTGGTATTGCAATGTTCCTAACACAAATAAATGATAAATGCTTGAGGTGATTGATGGATATTATAATTACCCTGATTTGATCATTAAACATTATATGTTTGTATCAAAATATCACATGTATCCCATAAATATGTACAACTATCTATGTATCCACAATCATGAAAAATAAAAAATAATAAAGCAAAAGGTAAATCTAAGCATGCTTGTTTTTTAAAAAGTATAATATTTTTTGTCAAACTATCTGGTATTCTACCTTACGTGTTTTATAATTTATCCCCACTAAACTTTATTACCATTTTAAGTAATCAGTGTTTCTTTTTATTTTATTTCCTGTTTGCCATTTTCATTGCTTTTTAACTCTTCTTTCTTCTTAGGCCTCCTTTCTGGACTTGTTTATCATTTGCCTGCTGTAAGATTTTTTGAATTTTCCTTACTGAGATTTTTGTTGTTGACAAAAATACCAGGTTTTGTTTGTCTGAATATATTTTTTATTCTTATTCTAGAAAAATGTTTAAAACTGAACATAAATTATCTTTGAGCAATTATTACTTTTATTCTTTTTTCCTCTAGAATATTGTTGGTATCATTTCACTCTCTTACAGTTTTCATTATTGCTGTTGAGAAGTTAGCTGAAATTGTAATGTCATTTATTTAAGATTATTTTGGCTTCCTTCTCCCAAACCTGGTAATTTTAAGTTTCTTATTGTCTTCTGTTTTCTTCAGTTTTGCTATGATGTGTCAGAATATAATTTTAAAAATTATCTTACTTAGATTTGATGGAACTTTTTGAATCTATGGATGTATCTTTCTTTTATCATTCCTGAAAAATTATTGGGTATTATTTATACATATATTGCATTGACAACCCCTTTTTTTCTTTTCTCTCCTTCTGAGACTATTGAATAAATGTGTATGAGATCATCTCATTAAATCTGTTACATCTTTTACTCTTTATTCTCCATTTTCCAAATTTTTGTCACTTTCTACTGTATTTTGAACATTTTATTCTGATCTGTGATTTGTCTTTGATGTGACTAATTTTCCCATTCTCAAATGTATCCATTGAATTAACAAATTATATCTTACATTCTATTAATTTATTTAGTTTTCTTCAAATCTGTTATGTAGACTTAACGTTTCTGGTTCCCTGCAGATCTTTTTAAGCATGTGGTGGGATGAGCATGATAATTTTATAATATGTGTCTGATTATTTCAGTGACTGGAGTCTTAGTAGGTTTGTTGTTTCTGCTTGTTCTCATTTCTGCCATATTTTCCCTTGTATCTTGTCATTACTCATTTTCCTTTGGATGGAAAATATTTCTGCATGTTTTTTGAGAAGTAGGAGAAATGCATCCTCCTCCAGTGAATCTTTGCATTAGCTTCTCTCCCAGGCACCTGTAAGTGTACCAGCCTGGGACAACTGAAACTAAATTCACTGCCTGAGTTTTCTTGGCCAACAATCTATGTTTGTCTAGGGTATAAATCTGGGTTGGGACCAATCTTCTCAGTAATAGTTCTTTTTTCTTTTCCATTCTCATTCTTTTTCTGCTGGACACCAAGGTAGCCTTCTATGTGGCTTCCTGAGGTTAGGAAGAGGGGATCTTGCAAGACATTACATACTTTATACCGATAATCCTAAAGGAAACTACACTACAATTATTATGATTATTAATTTATCCACTGACACCTACTTTGGTCACTCAGACTTGACTCCTTTCCTAACACCTGTATCTCTACTTGAACTAGCTGATTTACAGAGTTCTCTGGCAAAAGACGCATATTATGGGAAGAAAATAAGCATGTTGAGGGTTCTATTCCATTTCCTTTTTTGAGGTATTGTTGCCCTTACATTTCAGGTGAGCTCTTCCCCAAGAAGGGTTGTCCTTGCTTTCATCAAACCTTTCTTTGTGGCTTCAGTGGAAGATTAACCCATTGTCAAAAAGAAATTTATATGCATGGTTTTAAGATGAATCTGTCAGACTAATTTACTTTTCTTTTCATTGGCTAATGATGAAGATAAACTTTGAAGGTCTTTTTTTAAGCCAAAGAATGCAGGCAATTTGTCCATCTTTGGTAGTTAAATACATCAATTTGGGTATTGTTGCCTATGCCTACCAATTAACCCTCTTTGGGATTAATAATTACATTTCACAAGAGATGACATTACAGTTTAGAAGCTTAGTTGTTTCTAAGTGGGCTTCTTACAGACAACCTTGAAAAGATCATGACTGTTACCAAATGTAGTATAGAATGTTTCTAAGTATAACAGCAATCATTTAGAAAAGGAAGTAGGTTTTTATTCTTGAAAATATTTTCAGCCTTCAATTTTCTTCTAAATGGCTCTCTGCTCAAAATTCAGTGGGTGTCAACAGTCCCCTCTCCCCTAATCTGTTTAGGGTTTTCTTTATTCATAACTACCAAGAAGGAGGGCTTGCATTTTCAAAGCTTAAGACGGTATTCCATTTGCTAAGACTGAAACAGAAACGTAAAATCTAAAGAAACACAAAGGCAATAAAAGAACATATAAAACCGTAGATATTTTTAGAAATGAAATGAGGACTGTATTTCTGGTTTCATATCATAAAGCCTTTGGATATCTATAATGTGATGATGCTGTAATCAATCACACGGGTATCAGGATGACAGAGGATATTTCCAGTGTCTGACTTCAAAAGCCCAGACCCCAAATCAGTGAGTCAGAAATGACAAATTCAAGGGAGGTATTCATAGAATGAATTTCTGCAGGTGTTCATATCACCTGCTCTTTATTTATTCCCTTCAGATTGTTAAATCTGTCCCTGAATTCCTCAAACATTCAAACGTAATATACACACCAAAAGGAGCAGACCTTTCTTTCATTCTGCTGGTACTTCTGATACTTAGGAGAAGCCATATTAATTGTTATTTGAAATTTCTATCTCAATTTCATTTTTTTCCTTTTCATAGTACCAAACTTATCAAAAGAGTAGTCAATATTTAATATTTTTGTTTCTCTATATATTGATTAGCACCCTAAAATCTGGGTTCTGTTTTTCTCTAATGAAACTGCTGTTTTAAAGATCTCCACCACTTTAAACATGTATTATTTCTTCGTGGTGACAACATTCAAAATCTCTTCTTCTGGCTATCTTGAAATATTCAATACATTGTTATTTACTATAGTCACCCTACTGTGTAATAGAACACGAAAACAAATTCTTCTTAACTGTAACTTTGTACCCATTGACCAACCTCTCCCAGTTCCCTCCAACCTCAACCCTCCCCAGCCTCTGGTAACAACAATTCTACCCTCTAATTCTATGAAATAAGCTTTTTAAGATTCCACATATGAGTGAGATCATGTGGTGTTTATCCTTCTGTGCTTTAACATAGTGTTATCCAGGTTCATTCATGTTACTGCAAATGACAGGATTTCATTCTGTTTTATGGCTTTATAGTATTCTACTACACACACACACACACACACACACTCAGATAGATATCCATTCATCATTAGATGCACATATAGGTTGATTCTGTATCTTGGCTACTGTGAATAGTGCTACAATAAACATGGATGTGCAGATGTCTCTTTCACATACTGATTATATTTTCTTTGGATATATATCCAGTAATGGGATTGCTGGATTATATGGCAGTTCTATTTTTAGTTTTTTGAGGAACCTCCATAGTGTTATTCATTATGGCTGTACTAACGTACATTCCTACCAACAATGTATGAGTTTTCTTTTCTTCTATTTGTTACTTTTGATAATAGCCATTCTAGCTGGGATGAGGTGGCTTTCAATGTTGTGACCACAAAGAAATGATAAATATTGAAAGTGATGGATATGGCACTTACCCCAATTTTATCATTAAGTTATGAACACATGCATTGAAACATCACATTTTATCCCATAAATACGTACAATTATTATGTTTTGGTTATAAATAAAAAATTGAATTAAAAATATCTCCACTGACTTTTAAAATATTAACTCTAATGATTTTCTTTCTTTTTTTTCTTTTTTTTTTTTAGAGATGGAGTCTTGCTCTGTTGCCCAGGCTGGAGTGCAGTGGTGCAGTGTCGGCTCACTGCAAGCTCCGCCTCCTGGGTTCATGCCATTCTCCTGCCTCAGCCTCCTGAGTAGCTGGGACTACCGGTGCCCTGCCACCACGCCCAGCTAATTTTTGTATTTTTAGTAGAGACGGGGTTTCACTTGTTAGCCAGGATGGTCTCGATCTCCTGACCTCGTGATCCTCCCGCCTCAGCCTCCCAAAGTGCTGGGATTATAGGCGTGAGCCACTGTGCCTGGCCTGACTTTCTTTTTGTATTTAGTCTTGATATTTCTGTGGATGTACATTTTCTATCATTGTCTTTATCTTTAATGTATTCTTTGATATCTCAGTCTAGGATGCTTGTTTGTATGAAACAGGCACACGTTCAAACTAACTCAAACAAAAAAAAATTAACATAAGGATATAAGGCTGTGTTGTGGAACTTGAGAGCAGAAGCTATAGCTAGGCCTTTTTCCGTCTTTCAGTACTCAACACACGTGGAGATAAAATGGCCAGCTTGGCAGATATAGTCTGCATGTACACTATGATCAACTTGAAAAGGATAAAAACTGTAGATTTACATCAGTAAATCATTTGGCAAACGTTGATTGGGGGCTACAATGGTGAACATGCAGCTTTCTGAAATTGAAGGTGCTTTGTTATTTGTTGTCTTGAAAAAGTTGTCAGCAACAGCCATAGGTTTTGGCTGTACATAACCTTTCAGTTCTAACCTCAGCCAATTAAAGTATTGTTTTTTTTTTATTATACTTTAAGTTTTAGGGTACATGTGCACAATGTGCAGGTTAGTTCATATGTATACATGTGCCATGCTGGTGTGCTGCACCCACTAACTCGTCATTTAGCATTAGGTATATCTCCTAATGCTATCCCTCCCCCCTCCCCCCACCCCACAACAGTCCCCAGAGTGTGATGTTCCCCTTCCTGTGTCCATGTGTTCTCATTGTTCCATTCCCATCTATGAGTGAGAACATGCAGTGTTTGGTTTTTTGTCCTTGCGATAGTTTACTGAGAATGATCATTTCCAATTTCATCCATGTCCCTACAGAGGACATGAACTCATCACTTTTTATGGCTGCATAGTATTCCATGGTGTATATGTGCCACATTTTCTTAATCCAATCTATCATTGTTGGACATTTGGGTTGGTTCCAAGTCTTTGCTATTGTGAATAGTGCCGCAATAAACATACGTGTGCATGTGTCTTTATAACAGCATGATTTATGGTCCTTTGGGTATATACCCAGTAATGGGATGGCTGGGTCAAATGGTATTTCTAGTTCTAGATCCCTGAGGAATCGCCACACTGACTTCCACAATGGTTGAACTAGTTTACAGTCCCACCAACAGTGTAAAAGTGTTCCTATTTCTCCACATCCTCTCCAGCACCTGTTGTTTCCTGACTTTTTAATGATAGCCATTCTAACTGGTGTGAGATGGTATCTCATTGTGGTTTTGATTTGCATTTCTCTGATGGCCAGTGATGATGAGCATTTTTTCATGTGTCTTTTGGCTGCATAAATGTCTTCTTTTGAGAAGTGTCTGTTCATATCCTTTGCCCACTTTTTGATGGGGTTGTTTGTTTTTTTTCTTGTAAATTTGTTTCAGTTCATTGTAGATTCTGGATAATAGCCCTTTGTCAGATGAGTAGGTTGCAAAAATTTTCTCCCATTTTGTAGGTTGCCTGTTCACTCTGATGGTAGTTTCTTTTGCTGTGCAGAAGCTCTTTAGTTTAATTAGATCCCATTTGTCAATTTTGGCTTTTGTTACCATTGCTTTTGGTGTTTTAGACATGAAGTCCTTGCCCATGCCTATGTCCTGAATCATAATGCCTAGGTTTTCTTCTAGGGATTTTATGGTTTTTAGGTGAGTGAACTCCCATTCACAATTTCTTCAAAGAGAATAAAATACTTAGGAATCCAACTTACAAGGGACGTGAAGGGCCTCTTCAAGGAGAACTACAAACCGCTGCTCAATGAAATGAAAGAGGACACAAACAAATGGAAGAACATTCCATGCTCATGGGTAGGAAGAATCAATATCGTGAAAATGGCCATACTGCCCAAGGTAATTTATAGATTCAATGCCATCCCCATCTAGCTACCAATGACTTTCTTCACAGAATTGGAAAAAACTACTTTAAAGTTCATATGGAACCAAAAAAGAGCCCACATCACCAAGTCAATCCTAAGCCAAAAGAACAAAGCTGGAGGCATCACGCTACCTGACTTCAAACTATACTACAAGGCTACAGTAACCAAAACAGCATGGTACTGATACCAAAACAGATATAGATCAATGGAATAGAACAGAGCCCTCAGAAATAGCACCACATATCTACAACTATCTGATCTTTGACAAACCTGAGAAAAACAAGCAATGGGGAAAGGATTCCCTATTTAATAAATGGTGCTGGGAAAACTGGCTAGCCATATGTAGAAAGCTGAAACTGGATCCCTTCCTTACACCTTATATAAAAATTAATTCAAGATGGATTAAAGACTTAAACATTAGACCTAAAGTATCATTTTATTTAAAATCCTTAGAAAGAGACCTGAATTGGCCCAGCTGGCATCAGATGTGTACTGTGACAAAATCAGCAATGGCCAGGGGGCATGAAGTCATATGGACTAATACAGAACTTAGGCCCCAGTGCAGCAGGGACTGTTAATAACGAACACTTTTCAGAGAAGGAATTTGCACCCCATATTATATATACGTCTCAATTCCATTGTAGTACTTTCCTGAATCTCCTCTCATATTTACTGTTTCTTCTTTCCCTCTTGTTTCCTAACTCTGGGCTTCATCAAACAAAAACTTTCCTTTGATTAATTATTTTTTTCTTAGTATTCTTCCTCTTGAAATTTTAAGGCTTTGATCATCACTGATATGTCGGTGAATCTGAAATCTTTATTTCTGGATCTTATCCATTTCCTCATGCTTGACTTACAAGTCCTTTTGGATTATAAACCTTTCCACTTGGATGTCTCATAGGTAAATCATCCTCTCTATGCCCAGAATGGCACAGATCATCTGCTCAGATTCCTCCCGTCCAATTATCTTGATGTCATCTTTCTACTTCCAGTCATGTGGGCCAAAAACATTGAGTTTATCTGTATGCTTGACATCATGATTTCTTTTCTCATATCCCATTATTCATCATGCCCTATTGATTTAGATAGATCAATTTTAACTTGATTTAGCTTGACCTCCACCTAATCTCTAAATTCTGGGTGATCATGTGCCCAGGAAAAAGCAGAGAAAGAACTTTGAAAGGACAACTGCTATTCTGTCCTTTCGAGTTCCTGCCAAGGCTTCAAGGATCACATGCTATTTCCACAAAGAAGCTTTTTCTGAATCTCACCAAAAAGAGTAATGCTTATAACTAACAGTTTTACAGCACTGAATATATGCCAGGAACTAGGCTGTGTGGCTTGATTTGATGCTTTCCAAAATTCTGCAAGATTTTTTCACTGTTTCTACAGATGGAAAATTATAGCTCCCACAGATTAAGTGATTCAGCAAAGATTATAGGACATGGAAGTGTTGGAATCATGATCTCTGCTTCTAAACTCCCACAGAATTTTATTTCTTTTTTAAGGAACATCTCCTTATGTTTCATCACTGTGAAGTGTCTCACTTCCCTCCCAGAATGGGAACTTCCTGAGGCCAGGCCTGATTTATCTTCTAGCGCTCATGGTATCTAGCAAAATATTTTGTATGTAGGAGGCTTTCATTAAATAGTTATTGAACAAATGAATTGTCAGCTTAAAAAGTTCACAGATATTCACATTATCACAGAATTCACAGATAATGTAAATACAGTCAGTTTGGATGGCATGCCTATTTAACCAGGAGACTTCAGTATAAATATTTTATAAATAAAATTAGAATGATCTTTATTTACTGTGTGTTCCACAGGACTGCTCTTACATATTTAGACTAGATTATCTTTGTGAAATCCTTTGATATTTCAGAGAAATTGGAATGCGTGAAGCCTAAGTCTGTTTTTTGAAATGCCTGTATTTACTTTTTAGAAGTTTCCTTTTGCTTCTTACCATGTGTTATATATGTCACTAAATAAGTTTTAATTTTTACAATAATGTCTATTGTGATGGGCAGGAATTGGTTAAAATAGCTATGTTTATCTCTCACTAAATATTTATTAACATGATCTGTAGGAGACCAATTAAAGGACTCAGGATTTACATAGAAAGTTAAAAATAATTAGCTTTCCATGTTTTCAATGATGTATTACAAGCCATAATCCATATTGAAAAATGTTGGACAAAACTAAAATTATTATACAATGTAGTTTGAACATAGAAATTGAATTAGATATTATTTTCATCCTAAGCCTGTTATCTTGCTTTAGAAATAAAATGACATAACTATGTTTTCCCTAGAGCCTATGAAAAAGCTGAGACAAACTAATTTCAGAAAATGTAATTTTAATTTGTATTTGAAACCCTGGATAGTGTGTGTGTGTGTGTGTGTGTGTGTGCGCGCGCGTGCACTTTTGTGTGCTTGGGGGTTGTCTGTGGTTGGTAATGGGGAAATCAAATTGAATTGAATTTACTATTATTTTAAAAGAAGAATGAATTGCACATTATTATACTATAAATCATTCTTAGGGATCTTAGAAAAACAGCTAAATGCAAAGACTTTGAGTCAGACAGTTCATTTCACATTTGGCTCAGTTTACTTTCAAGATATAACCTTGAGTGTGATACTTAACCTCTGTCAGCCTCCTATTTCTTCTTGTAAAACAAAGTACATTTTATACATTTCAAGCAGTATATATAAAGCAAACACCAGATGTTTGTTAAGCAAATTCTATGTACAACAGTAAAAATAAACTTAAGCACCTAAAGTTACATCAGGGAATATAAGGCGGGTACATTAATATTACATTATAGGGCAGATTTTTATAGGCTTTAGAGGTAGACTTGAGGTGAGTTTCTGGCCCTTTGTAATTATGCGACCTGAAGCACAGTTTCTTCATGTCCACTGCCTCCATCCCTTGCCCCACCCCATAACCAAGTCAACATGCTCTAATTCCTGTCATTTTGCCACACATTCCTGCTGGTGCCCCTGTTTCTGCTCTCACCCCCTTGTTCTCTGAACAGCAGTCTCAGTAATGTTTTAAGAATGTTAACAAAATTGTGTCATGCTCTAATTTTAACCCTGTAATATCTTTCCATTACATCCAGAGTAAAATACAGACTCTACCCCATGGTTTAAATACCCTGAGAGAACTAGTCCCCAGCCCGCTCCTTGATCTCTTAACCTCTTTCCTTTATGTTCTTTCCCTCCCTCCCTCCTTCCCTCTTTCCCTTTCCCTTTCCCTTTTCCTCCCCTTCCCTTCCTTCCTTCCCCCACTCTTCTTTTTCTAAGTCTTTTGTTTTCTTTGTCTCTTGCTTTCTGTCTCTTTCTCATTTCAACTCAAATGTCTCTCCCTCATGATGTTCCCTGACTGCCTTGTGCAAAGTCTCACCTTTCCCGATAGTCTCTTCCACATCACTCTAGTTAAATTTTCACAGCATGGATCACTTTCAGAAAACACCATGTTGATATATGGTGTTCTTGTTTATTGGATGTATATTCTCTCCCAAAAGAGTATAAGACCCATGAGACAAGTGACTGCCTATCAGGTTTTGATTCACTTCCGTTTTGTGTCCTCTTGCCTAGCAGAGTGCTTGACTCATAGCAGATATTTAATTAATATAGAATGAATCAATAAATTAGAAAATGACTGGTAAGCTGTATCTTGAAGTGATTTTTTATCACCTCCCATTTTTTATTTGTCAACATTTATTTTTGTAAAATACATTTATTGTTTAGAACAGTTTTAGAAATGTAAGAAGATAGTACAGAGAGTTTCCCTATACCCTGCACTCAGTTTCTCCTATTGCTAACATCCTACATTAGTATGATACATTTGTCGCAATATTGAACCATGTTAATACATGACTATTAAGGGCCATATTTTATTCATATTTTTCTAATTTTTACCTAATTTCCTTTTTTCTGTTCCAGGATCCCATACAGGACACTACATTACATTTAGTTATAATGTCTCCTTTGGCTCTTCTAGGCTGGGACAGTTTCTCAGACTTTGTTTTTAATGACCATGACAATTTTGAAGAGTACTAGTCAGGCATTTTGTAGAATGTTCTCCTGTTGGAATTTTTCTGATGTTTTTCTCATGATTATACTGGGTTTACCAGTTTCTGTGAGAGAGACCTGAGGTTAAGCACCATTCTCATCACATCACATCAGGGGTACATACAATCAAAACAATTTATCACTGCTGATGTTGATTTTGATCACCTGGCTGGAGCAGTGTTCCTTGTTTTTTTACTGAGAGTGACTATTTTTCCTCCTCCCTTTGGCTTACTGTACTCTTTGGAAGGAGGTCACTGTAAGCAGTTCATTTGTATCAATTTCTACTTCTCAACATTTTGAAATTCTGAATATGTTAAAAATAGAAGTATAAAAATTTATTAGAAGAAAATTTAGATTTCTGTTTGTATACTATTGGAGAGAGGGAAATCATCTAAGTGAGAAATCCCAGACATTATAAAGGAAAATAAAATCATATATAAATATAAAATTTTAATTTATGACTAAAGTTATCATAACAATGAACAAAGATAAATATTATACTGAGATAGAAATACCTACAACATACATTTGCAAAATTTTCATGATAGTAGTACCAGTTACCATTAATTAAATATTTAGCATGTACCAGGCACTCCTCTAAGTACAGTACATGCATTATTTCATTTAACTTTCAAAGCAACTCATGAAATATTTCTATTTATTTTTCCATTTTACAGGCAAAGAAATTAAGGCATAATAAACTACTGAAGTTTAAAAATATGTTAAAGGACAAAGTCAGATTCAAACCACAGGAAGTCTGGCTCCTGGGATGGTGCACATAACCACTATAACTATATTGCCATACATTGATTTTTTAATAAAAAGACAAAAAAGCTTAATAAGTAAAAAGTGAACAAATATATAAAAATGCATGCCACAGAATAGGCATTATAAAAATGAATGTAAGGCCCTTCATACTCGAAAAGATTCTCAGGAATGCTAGTAGTTAGGGAAACACAAACTTTAAACCATAAGGAAATACCTGCATCAATCAAATGCAATTATCAAAACAACTGATATCATTCTGGTGAGGATGTGGGAAAATGAGAGTTGTTGTGCTTTACTAGTATATGCTTTACTAGAATATGAACGACTAGAATATTTTTGGAAGATATTTTTTTAATCTGCTATAATTAAAAGTATACATACTCTTGTAATTAAAAGTATAAACACTTGTATATTTTTTGTTGTGAAATGCTAACACATACAGAAGACTATATGAACATAAATATAATGATTAATGAATTATTATAAATCAAATACTTGTGTATTCACCAGGTGAAGACATAAAATCATTTTCAGAAAACTTTTGTGTAACCCTTTTAAATAAAGAAATCCTAGTGCTGTCTTCATCAACATATAAACCAATTAAAAAAATCCTTCTTTCCTTAACTGTTTTTACTCTCCCAAATTTTCTTTTTCTTTACAGTTTTATGCTTTATATAAATGTAATATTGTAGTGTATATTCTATATGTTTGTAAGATCGTCTATATTGTTTGTATAGTTGCAGTTTGTTTAATTTTTCATTCCCTTGACATTGAATACTTACCTTTGGGTCTTCAAGCTCAACTAGACAGACTAATATGATTATTATAGGCCACACTAACCGCTGACCTCACTTAGCAGGATACAGCACAGGGAACAGCATGCCAGCACACCAGCAACTGTTTACCTTCTGAAAGAGTTCTCAACAGAACAGAAATGGGAGCTAGTCTTCTGTAGCTACTCCAAATGACTGTGCATGTAAGAATGTGAGACTTAGAGAGCTGAGTGTAATAGATAGATAACCTTAAAATCCTGTGTCCCAAAGTGGAATCAATGACTTAAAAAGTCCTGCAAAGAACATGCGTTTAGGAGAGCCCAAAGATTCTCCTAATAAGGTATTTATAGTTTATTCACAGTCTAGGTATAATGTGTCAATCAGGAGTTTTGTTTGTTTGTTTGTTTGTTTGTTTTACCATAAGCGGTGGTCCCAGTAACACAGCTGACATCCACTTTTGCTATTTTTTTAGGGGAATGGAATTAGAAAATAACCCAAGCTCAAATTTATGCATTATAAAAAGAAAGAACATTTTGCTTCACCCTTTATTCACAAACATACCATACTTTTTGGTTCACAAGATAGAATGTTGTTTGATTCCATATTTTATCCCTTATGAAAAACGTTGCTGTGACCATTCTTATACATGTTCCCTGGTACATAGGACATATTTCTATTGGATATATATAAAGTTGTGATATTGCTAAGTCAGTGTGTATGTCTGTCTTGAATCTTGATAGAAAACATCCAACTGTTTTCCAGTTGGTGGTTTTACCAATTTACACAACCACACGCAGTTTGTGAGAATTTCTATTACTCCATATTCTCTTCAATTTCTGGTATTGGCATTCTTTTAAGTGTTAACCCTTCTGGTGAATGTGAAGTAGCATCTAATTTTGGTTTTAATTTGAATTTCCCTATTATCTTGATGATTATTTCCATATTTATTGGCCACTTGGATTTCTTCCTTTGTGACTTCCCTTTTTAAGGCTTTTCTCCATGTTTCTATTTATTGGGAGTTCTTTGTATCTTCTGTATATGAGTCCTTTATCAACTACATGTTGAAAATATGTTCTACCACTTAAAATTTTGCCTTTTCATTCTCTTATACTTTCTAATTCATTTTTTGGAAGACACAGTCTTATAGTAATAAAATAATGATATGTATAAATGTATTTATAAGCAGAGGTGGTAACCAAAATATTTAACTATAGATATAGTGTGGGGGCTGATAAACCAGAATAGTATGCACCTGTTGAATGTTAGATCAGTGTATAAGGCTGTTTTTATGATGATGATTACTATTACTGCATTGGTTAGCACAACCAACATTTTATAGGAAGTAATGTGAAATGTCAATCAATAAAGGAATTATTGGATTTGTTGAAGTACATCTATATTCTGCATATTAAGATCAATTGAACTTTAGGAGCTGACTGCTATAATCTGGAAGGATGAAAATCCCAAAAATATAATTCTGGGAAATATTTTAAAAATTCTTTAAGTGATATTTATTTACATTTTTAAAAGGAGATTTATTTGTGAAACACATAAAAACACGACAAAAAACTTCATATTTTTACACAATAAAATAAGCAATAATAACATACGTATTTTTGCAAACATAAAGAGGTATATTAATGGACATTGCGTAGGTATAACAGTTGTGAGTGATAAACCATATTCATAAAAATTGGACAAAAGGAAATGTGTAAGTGCATATTACTATGGTTGGTAATTGTGTCCACCCAAATTTATAACTGTGGTCATCTGACATTCTTTGATGAACACTGTAAGTCTTGACAAGATTGGCACAAACTATGATGGGTCAATACCACATGCGCAGTCACCTAAAAGAACCAAGATCTCAATAAATTTTATTTTTCACAAATGCAGCTGTACAAAAGGACATCTCTTCATTTACTGAGAAAGTTTCAAGTTTTTTTGTACACATACAATGCTTGCACACAAAGTCAGTGTGGTGATAGTGCACTTTCGTGTAGGCAAATTTGCAAAAAATGCATAAAATGAATTATAACTCTCTGGAAGTCTCTATACAACTTATACTTCCAGTATACCATAGTAATATATTTTTTTAAATTCTGATAATTTAAAATAGTTGAAAAAAGAAGAAGAAGAAGAAAAAAAAACAAAACCTTTTCACATGCCTGTTGGCCATCTGTATGTGGTCTTTTGAGAAATATCGATTCAGGTCCTCTGTACATTTTTTAATCAGGTCATTTCTTTTTGGCTATTGATTTATTTTAGTTTCTTAAATATTTTGGATATTAGCACCTTCTCAGATACATGGTTTGCAAGTATTTTCTATCAATTCGTAGATTGCCTGTTCACTCTGTTGATTGTTTTTATACTGTGCACAAGATTTTTAGTTTGATGCAATCCCACTTGTCTAGTTTTGCTTTTGGGTTCATAGTGGAGAAATTATTGCGAAGACCAATATCAAGAAGTATATTCCCTATGCATTCTTTTAGTAGTTTTACAGTTTCAGGCCTTACATTTAAGTCTTTAAATCATTTTGAACTGATTTTTGAACATGGTGTGGGATAAGGGTCTAATTACGTTCTTCTGCATGTAGATATTCAGAGACTGTCCTTTCTGCATTGTGTATTCTTTCAACCCATGTCAAAGATCAGTTGACTGTAGATATATGGATTTATTTCTGGATTTTTGATTCTCCTCCATTGGCTTTTAGGTCTTTTTTTATGCCGGTACCATGCTGGTTTAATTACTGTGGCTTTGTAATATTTTGAAGTCAGGAAATGTGATTCCTCCATTTTTGTTCATCTTGCACAAGATTGTTTTGGCTATTCAAGGTCTTTGTAGTTCCATATGAATGTTATTATTATTTCTGTAAAGAATGCTATTGGGATTTGATAGCAATTGAATTGAGTCTTAGATCTCTTTGGGTAATATGGACATTTTAACAATGCTGAGTTTTCCAATCCATGAACACAGGATGTCTTTCTATGTCTTCTTTGTTTTTTACAGGTCTTTTTTTCTGTGTTTTCTGTAAATTCCTTTATAAATGTTTTATAATTTTCAGTGTACAGGTCTTTCACCTCTTTGATAAATTTACTCCTTAGTATTTTATTATTTTTGTTGCTATTATAAATAGGATTGTTTTCTCCATTTCCTATTTTGGATAGTTCATTGTTTATATATAGAAATGTTACTGATTATTGTATGTTCCCTTTTTATCCTGTAACTTTATTGAATTCATTTATTAGTTCTAAGAGATTTTTGTGGATTATCTAGGAATGTCTACATATATGTCATTTGCAAGAAGTGATAATTTTCTTCTTTTCCAATTTGGATGCCTTTTATTTATTTATTCTTACTTACTTGCTCTGGCTAAGACTTGCAGTACTGTGATGAAAGAAGTGGTAGAAATGGGCATCCTTGTCTTGTATAGTGTCTTAGAGGCAAAGTTTTCTGTTTTCTTTCATTAATTATGATATTGGCTGTGGTTTTTGATATGATGGTCTTTATTCTGTAAAGTAAATTGACGTAAATTCTTTTTACACCTATTTTCTTGAGAATTTTAATCATGAATGGAAGTTAAACTTTGGCAAATGTTTTTTTCTCTGTTGAGTTGACCTTTTTTTTTTTTTTGGTAATATGGTATATTACACTGATTTATTTTTGTATGTTGAACCATCCTTGTACTCCATGGATAAATCTCACTTGGTCATGGTGTATAATTGTTTTAATGTGTTATTATATTTGCTTTGCTAGTATTTTATTTATGATTTTTGCATTGACGTTCACTAGGGACTTTGGCCTATAGTTTTCTTTACTCCTAGTGTCTTTGTACAGTTTGAGTATCAAGTTGATGCTGGCCTCATAAAATGAGTTTGGAAGTGTTCCTTCTTGTATTTTTTGCAAGAGTTTAACAGAGTTGGTAGTAATTCATCTTTGAATGTTTGCTTGAATTCAACCATGAAACCACCTGGTCCTGGGCTTTTCTTTGTTGGGAGGTTTTTCATTACTAATCTAATCTTTTTTTTTATTGGTGTGTTTAGGCTTTCTATTTCATCTTGATTCAGTTTTGGTAGCTTGTAAATTTCTAGGAATTTATTCATTTCTTCTAGATTATCCAATTTGTTGGTATATAATTGGTCATAATAGTTTCTTATGTTTCTGAGGCATCTGTTATAATGTTTTCACTTTCATTTCTGATTTTATTTATTTGACTTCTTTTTTCTTGATTATTCTAGCTAATGGTTTTTCAATTTTGTTTATTTTTTCAAGAAAACAGCTCTTAGTTTTGATGATTTTTAGTTTTTTATTCTTTAATTTATTTCTACTTCTTATATTTATTATTTCCTTCTTTCTGCAAACTTTAGGATTATTCTTTTTATAGTTCCTTGAGGTATAAAGTTAAGCTGTTTTTTTCCAGATATTTCTTCATGTAATGTGAGTATTTATTATTATAAGCTTTTCTGTTATTACTGCTTTTGCTGCATCCCAGAAGTTTTGGTAAAGTGTGTATATAGGTTGGTTGGTTTGTGAGCACTGAGAAAGGTATGTAAAGATACACAATAAGTCATTAATCTTGGCTGTTAATCTTGACAGTTCGAATTGGAAGCAGTAATGTTGGGAAGCAATCTATTAACTTTTTCATCATGCATCTCTGAATGTTTGGGTTATTAAAAACAGCACTGTTATTTTCATATTTTTAAAAACATAATTCCTAATGATATTATAAAAATTAAATGGATGAAGGGGCTTTTTTAACTTCCAAACTCTTCATACAAATGAGAAGATTAAAGTTATTTTGGACACTTTATGTAGCGTAGGTTCACATAGATCAAAAATATGTTATCCCAGATGACTATTGAGAAACAATTTTCAGCCAGTGTTCACCAAATATCTTCAAAAGCAAGAATGGAATGAAAATCAGGAAATCAAAGATGAGGTTGCTTATTTCAAAATGCCCAATTATCACAGACTTTGTATGTTGTAACACCTCAACTCTTCCTTTATTGTACTGCAAGCTCCACTAAGGCTGGATTATTTGTCTTTTTTGCTACTGTATCCGCAATGCAAAACTTAGTGCCTGATATATAGAAGACAGTCAGTAAATTCTTAGTAAATGAATTAATAAATGCTTATTTTAAGATTGCTATTTAACTGCCCATTTAAAAAATAGCAGTTAAAGGGTTGATTATTTCATTAATTGCTCTGTTCTGGGATATCTTATATTTGATTCCAGTTTACAGAACACCTTATCATTACCTTTGTTCAGCCTGTCATCATGTGGCACTGTTATTTTTAGTAGATCTGTCTCCCCAGTAGGACTGTGAATTACTCAGGGACAAAATCTGATTTCTATTCATTTTTTTATTTATCTCACAGAGCAACAAATTCAGTAAATTCTATTTCAGTAAATACAGTAATTTAAAATGTTTTATTTTTTCAGATTATTCTTTCCAATAGCATGACTCCAACAATAATTTTACTTCACAAAAACACAGTTCATTGATTCTACTGTTCACTATTCCTTTGATATCACTTTGGTCCCATGCCCATCTTCAATTTTGTGGTACATCCTTATTGTCACTTCACTTGTTCTCTTGCATACACTTTCAACTTATTTGTCCTACTTTTCTTTGAAATTCTCGTATACTCTCTCTACATTTTCCCTATGGGATCCATTTAATTCATAAGACTTTAAATTCCATATCTATGCTGATGACTCGAATATTGGTATATCTTGTCTGAATTTTTCCCTGAAATTCATACTCATATATCCAACTGCTTACACTCCATCTCCACTTGGATGGCCATGATCATCTCAAACATAACATGTCCAATACTAAAATTATTCTCTATCTTCACCCCACATCCGCTTCTCTAACAATTTTCCCCATCTTAGTGAATAGCGATTCAGTCCTTCTAGTTCCTCAGTTGAGTCACGACTTCTTTCTTTCTCTCATGCCTAATTTCTAATTCATTGGCAAATCTGGTTGGAGCCGAAGTCAAGACATATCCATTATCCAAACTCTTCTCCTTATTTATATTCTGTAATCCTGATCCAAGCCACTATTACGTCCCACCTAACTACATGTAAGCTCCCCCTTTTGCTACATCCCACCTCCCTACACGCTAATTCTCAGTATAGCATTGGAGAAATTTGCTTAAAGCTCAAGTTAAATCATGCCACGCCTCTTCTCAAACCCTGCAGTAGCCTCCCATCTCATGTAGTTAATATGGCTACTTGCTACCTCTTTGACCTTACTTCATACTTATACTTCTTTCTTCCCTTGCTCCCTCAAATCCAACCATGTTTGGGCTGATTCCACTTGCACAGAAGGAGTAAAAGTTTAGCTTAAATGAATCAATGCTGATTTATGTGAGGAGATAAATCAGCCTTCAACATAATTGAAGCCGTGCTGGATTTTATCTAAAGAAGGCTTATACCAACAAGACTTCTAGCAGTCATCTCAGAAACTTTTTCTCAGGGGCCGCAAAGGTCTTTGACAATGGGAATTATGTTTCTCAATCTAAGAGTATGACAGGATCAGTCCAGGAGGCTTGCATGTATCTTTTACTGATTTTTTTTGTGTGAAACAGTTTTATTAAGAAAGTATTTTTGCTAGAATATAGTTATACATAGCCACTGGAAGTTGATTAATTGAAATTTGGAAGTGATAGCTATACTTTTTAAATGTTAATTTTTCAATGTTTTATTTAGGCCAACATTTTCAATCACAAAAGAATTCATCTTGAGATTCAATCAAACACAAAATTCCAAAGAGAAGGAAGAATTGTTGGAACTAGCTAGAAAAATCATTCTCAGATGTAAGGTAATGGCATATCATTTGATTGTTGAGCATGTTAACTTCCTTTCTAGTTGGTACATGATTACACATTCTAAAATATTTTAAGAAAAAATAAGAATATATCTTTCTTTAATTATAAGTAGGGATAGTTAAAATATTAATGCAAATTAAAATTAAAGCTTATAACCAAATAATAAAAGCTCCCTGTAAATTTTTGTGGAAATATACCAGTCCAGCAGCCCATAGCAAAACGTTAAGTCTGGCAAATAAATTTTTGATTATGAAAATTATATTTTTTTAAAAAAAGTTAATTGAGATATGCTGTGTCTCAAAGGAGAAAAAGGCCTTTCTAAACCTTTATATACATGCACAAAGTACTCTGTTCTTTCTCTGTAACAAACTATTCTTCACCTAACTTGTGAAAAATACATTCGTTAAGAATATGACATTAATCCCCAAATTTACAAATAGATATCAAAACAGAACAGGAAGTAAAGTAAGTCCTTGCTTTGCCTTTTTTACATTGGATTCAGTTTAAGTTTTACAGAGAAATAACATACATATTTTGCTTTGATATGAATAATTCATTAAATAAAAGCTGCACAAAACTGGTGCATAAATTAAGCCACCTTTTTTGTGGTGTTGTAGTGGTGTTATTTTCCAGTTCATGGCTGCCCATATATTTGAAAATTTTGAAAAAAATTTGATTAGAAAAAGAGTATACTTTTGATAAGTGTGTATGCAGACAGGTGCCAGGAGGTGCATTCATCAGTGAACTTTTCTCCAATTGTGCAAGTGTTCCCTGCAACAGTCCCAGGAGTGGGCACAATAAGGGAAGTGGAACAATCCTGATCATCTCCCTCAAGTTCATTAACTTCCGTATATCAACAATGAAGTAGCCAGGGTTTTCCAGCAAACTGGCATCAAACTCACTTCTGTTTTATCACATTTCTTCAATGTTTTTCCTTATACAATAAAAAAAATGCATTCCCTTGGGGGAAAATTGGAAGTACTCACTAGAAAGTAAAAAATGAGAATTATTTTCAGCAAATAGCTAATGATATTACTTGTAATATCAACTTTTTTACATCTTAACACTAATACAGTTTGCATAAAATCTCCAAAAATTTGAGTAATAAAAGCAAAAATATAAAATTGTATACAACTCTGGCCACCAAGCATTAGCTTCATAGAATGACTTTTGGAGCACAATTAAGAGTTAAAAATAAATATATATATAAAAATATGTACATTTTGATTTGTCTTTTTCATGCTTCCTCATAACAGAGAAAATTGGGTCTCAAAACCCTGGGCTCTGGAAGGCATGTGCATCTTCCTGCTGCATGGACTGAAGTAATATATCTGGCTCAATGCAAAGGGGAAATCCAAGATGGTACGTACTTTAAATTCTTATTAGGCATCCTAAGTATTTTCTATATCATCAGTGAAGGCATAATTTGAGAACTTTAATTTTTAAAAATTGTGCAGAAGACAAGAAATTTTTCTACTCTATCAAAATACATTTTATTATGAAAATTCATTTTGTAATTTTGAATTTATGATTTTAACTAAGCTTTTTAGTGATAAAACTATTTTAAAAACTTTACTCAGCATAGTCTTTATTACTTTTTTGCCAAAATTAGCAACTAATTAAAAACTAATATAAAATGTCATTTAGTGATTTCCAGTTACAATAGGCACTAGACTTTAGAGAAATTTGCTTCTTCATTTTATAATTATTACTTATAAAACATTAATCAAATGACCATTTGTTTTCCACTTATTTTAAATAGCAAGCTTTACTCATTACCTTTTCATTTATCACTCCTCATTTATGCCTCCTTTAAAACATCCTCTAACTAATCTAAAAAAAAAATTAAACAACGTTATTTCTAAGGGGGTAAAATTCTTTCCATCACTATCATTTAATTGTATATATATGCCTTTTAAAGTAGTTTTAGAATGTTAACCACATGAGCTCAGAGAGAATTTCCCCCATGTAAATTAGGTTTTGTAGTGCTATCTGGGAATTTTCAAGCAACAGGAAGAGTAAGAATTATTTTGTATTTAACTTGCCTTTATGGTCCTTCATCACAGTGCCATCCACAGCCTGACCTCTATTAAGAATTTAAATGATATTGAGGTAAACACTCTTGGTTTACCAGCAAGAAGAGGCTGTTTGCTCTTCATTGACAATTACATTTCAGTTTTAATCAGTCATGTGATTTAGAAGAGGACTGGCCCTTGCCCAACCCGAGGGGGGTGAATCATGGATGGTCTAAATCAGGGGTCTCAAAACCCCGGACCATGAACTGGTACCAGTCTGTGGTCTGTTAGGAATTGGGCCGCACAACAGGCTGTGAGCAGCCAGGGAGCGAGCATTACTGCCTGAGCTCCACCTCCTGTCGGATCAGCAGTGACATTGGGTCCTCATAGGTGTGTGAAGCCTATGGTGAACTGCACATGTGAGGCATCTAGGCTGCGGTGCTCCTTGTGAGACAAAACCAGTCCCTGGTGCCAAAAAGGTTGGGGACTGCTGGTCTAAATCAATTATGGTAATTCCTTTTCACTTGCTAGTGATTTGATTAGGGGTAGTCACATGACCTGGTCCTGAGCACAGTGATGTAAAGACAGCTACATTTCCTGTACTTTTTGTTGACTTGCTTTTGAAAAAGACATGCCTTTCCTGCCTATACTCTTCCTTGTTCCTGTCTAGTTTGCTTGGTAAGAACATGATGCCTGAGCTTGTGTAGTCATCACAGTCCTCATGCACATGAGAGGGAACTAGAAGATGAAAGAAATGTGCATATAGAGGGCAGCTATCTTAGCTGTCCCTGGAACCTTTCCAATTCTAATCTTGTGAAATAAACCTCCTTATTTTCAAGACATTTTTGTTGCATTTTCTGTTACATACAGCAGAAGGATTTTAATGCATTCACATATTTAATTCTAAGTAATACTCTCAATATGACTTCTTACTCTCTTCACAACTAAAATAACTGAATGAGTGTTTTACCTGTACTTTTGTCTGCTCCTCATTCTGTAATCCACCCTCCACTCAACAGCTTCTGATTACACTCAAATGAGTGTAACTCCATATCATGGCCTACAAGGCTCTGCATGTGCTGGCTCCTGGCTACCTCCCTACTTACTCATTATGTTCAGCCCTACTGACCTCCTTCCTGTCCCTTGAGCATGTCAGGGTTCTTCTTTCCTCAAGTCCCTGTATTTGCTGTTCGTCCTCATATATTTACATGGAAGCTCCTCAAAACTTTTGTAATGATTTGAGAAGCTGTTTTCTCTAGGCTCTTAGCTCTATATTCTTCTTCCTTCAGCTTCACCGGTTGGCCCTGTTTCCTCTACCTTGATTCTCTAGTCTTCTGCTATTCCCTTTTTATCTTTCGCACTGCCTTTTATCATCTGGTTCTGTCCTATTTCTCCACCACGATGTGTGTGGCCTGGTGATTTATTTAGCCTGTATAGTGTTGGATCTATAATAGCTGAGCCCCCTTGGACATTTCTTCCTTCCTCTAGCCTCTCGACCTTGGTGACTTCTGTTTCAGTTGCTTCATGCCATGGAGTTGAACTTCCTACATGGCAGCTTAGGGTTCCAAAGCTAGTATCTTGAGAGAGAGAGAGATCCAGGTGGAAGCATTGGTGCCTTTTCTGATTCAGTCTTAGAAGTCACATAGTGTCATTTCTGCCACATTCTATTGGTTGAAACTGTCACAGGGCCTGCTCAAGTTTAAGGAGAAGAGCATATAGACATCACCTCTTGATGAGAAAGGTGTCAAAGAGAATTTGTAAATATATTTTAAAACTGCAATTTGGTCTTAATGACAGGAAATAATTACAAAAAGTAATTATAGCATGTGGAAAAACAGGATGATTTTCAAATGATGCAGTTTCTATATTTTTAATATTTCAGAATCTTTAAATATGCTTTATGCATCTCTGGACCATGCTTCCTTTGATTATGATCATCTGCCTGCCTTATTTTTTGTTGCGGAATCGGTTTTATACAGACTGTGTTGTGATGCATCCCTCAAAACATATTTATATTCAGTTGAAATAAAGCTAGCAAAGGTATGTTTTGAAAAACTTCTTAATGTTTTTAAATATTTCACATACTACATGTAACAACATGACATCTGTTTTAGGATCAAAACAGAACATTTAGTTTTATTATAGAATATTCTTTTGTTTGGTAGTTTAATCTTCTCTAATTGTGAGTAGTACGTTATTATTGCTTAATATCTAAATGGAGATAGTTTGAGAAAATATAATGTCACAAACTATATAAGAAAATAACATTTCATTAAAAAAACAATATACTTCTACTTAACTGTTTCTCTAAGTATATATAGAGTTTTTCTTTTCTATTTTAAGGACTTTTAAATGCCACCTCCTTTGCCATTTAAAAATGCTGACAAATAACCTTAAATAGCTGCCCAATTTGGGAAACTTAGTTGTTCTTCTAATATTCTATGTCACTTTAGATCTATAAAAATGAAAAACTCTTTTCAGGTAACTCATATTTTATAATGTCCTTGAGATCATATTGTTTCACTCTCAGTGATGATCATGGTTGACTGCTGTAAAATATATTATTAGTCAAACAAATGTAGTTTAACTAATGGTTTTACTGCAAAGAAAGAAAAGAAAGGCTAAAAGTATTTTTTAAGATGGTTTTTTATATATATATATACACATATATGTTCATATATATATGAATGAAACAAATTAAATTGATTATGCAGAAATGGTTTTTTAAATTAAATTTTGATTATAAACTGTTAGAAATCGAGCATGAGAGAACATTGATGAATCAGTCCATCAGTTGAACATTTTGGGGAGACAACCACATTTCAGTCATTGTAAATCAAGCTTAGATGCTCTCTGACACATTTGGTAGTAAAAGACTTGTGGAGACCAAGCAAAAGTAGATACAGAGAATACATAATAGAAATTAACCGTGCAAAAAACTGAGCTTTGCGTAGATGGAGGATTGAAGAAAATAGTCAAGATATTACCAATAACTGTTTTGGGATGGTGAGCTTATGATGATTTTTTTTCTTTTTCTGTATTTCCAAAACTGTCCACTAAAATATGTATTTATATTTATAATGAAAACAATATATATAAGTAAAAATAAAATATATAAAAATAAAATGTAAATATACATATTTATAATGAAAAAATAAATGTGATAAAATTTTTAAAATGGAATAGAAAAACATGGAGCAAGTCTGGCTTTTATCTCCTTTCTTTCTCATCTCCTTCAGTGACCTTTCTCCATTTCTTGCCTTTTGTATTTCTGCTAGCAAGAAAAAAATAGCTACAAAATATAGTTTTATGCATGGAGCATATTGCTTATACTTTGCACATGCCCTGTTATCTGCAAAGCCAGATAATTTGTACCAGTTCTGATAGCAGCTGCAAACACTTAAACCTTACTTAACTATGTGCCTTACACAATGATAAGTGCTTTAAATATATTAGACACATTAACTTATTTTATTCTCACAACTATCCTAAGAGGATTATTCATGATTTCACATATTCTACATCTCACTGTGGCATAGAGAGTTTTAAGTGACTTGCCCAAAGTCTAAGCAGAGAGAGTTTTGATATTCAATGTGGCTACAGAGTCCAGTGAACTCTCAGCTATGATGCTACACATCTACCTTGGTTCTCAGATTTACTAATTTTTACCTTATTTTTTCTTCTATTGATATATAAATAACATTTTAAATATTTATGAAGTACATGTTAGTGTTTGTTACATGACTAGCATGTGTAATGAACAAGTCAGGATATTTAGGGTATCCATCGCTTTGAGTATTTATTATTTCTATGTGTTTGCATCATTTCAAATCCTCTCTTCTAGTTACTTTGAAATATACAAAGCATTGTTGGTAAGTATAGTCACCCTACTCTAGTATCAAACATTCTATCTAATGCTATATTTGTACCCATTAACCAACTTCTCTTTATTTTCCCCTCCCATTTACCCACCCTTTTTAGTCTCTGATATCTATAATATTATTCTGTTCTCTTTGTCCATGAGAGCAAGTCTTTTAGCTTCCACACGTGAGTGAGAACATGTGGTTTTTGTATTTCTGTGCCTAGCTTATTTCATTTAACATAGTGACTCCCAGTTCCATCCATATTACTGCAAATGACATTTCATTATTTTATTGCCAAATTGTATTGCATTGTGTATATACACCACATTTTCTTTATCTAATCACCCATTAATGGATACTTACGTTAATTCCATATCTTTACTATTGTGAAGAGTGCTTCAGTAAACACGAGAGTGCAGGTATTCCTATAATACACTGATTTTCTTTATCTTCCTAAAAGATAAATTCCCACTAGTGGAATTGCTGGATAATATGGTAGTTCTATTTTTAGTTTCTTAGAAACCTAAACACTGTTTTCCATAGTGGCTGTACTAATTTACACTTCCACCAATAGCATATGCATTCTCTTTTCTCTGTATCCTCGCCATCATGTGTATTTTTTTTTGTCTTTTTAATAATAGCCATTCTAACTGGAGTGAAATAATATTTAATTGTGGTATATGGTCTTTATTATTTTGAGGCATGTTCCTTCTATGCCTAGTCTGGAGACTTTTTATCATGAAGGGATGCTGAATTTTTTCAAATGCTTTTTCTGCATCTGAGATGATCATACGGTTTTTGTTCTTCATTCTGTTGTGATTTATCATGTTTATTGATTTGCATATGTTGAATCATTCTTGATTCCCTGGTATAAATCCAATTTGATCGTGTTGTATTATCTTTTTGATGTGCTGTTGGATTCAGTTTGCTAGTATTTTGTTGAGGTTTTTGGAGTCTATGTGCATTAGGGATATTAGCCTGTAGTTTTCTTTCTTTGTTGCACCTTTTCTGGTTTTGGTATTAGGGTAACGCTGGCCTTGGGAAATGTGTTAGGGAGAGTTCCCTCGCCTTTTACTTTTGGGAATAGTTTGAGGAGGGTTGGTATTAGTTTTTCATTATCTATTTGGTAGAATTCAGCAGTGAACCCATCTAGTACTGGACTTTTCTTTTTTGGGGGAATCTTTTTGTTAATGATTCAATCTTGCTACTCATTGGTATTGTCAGGTTCTGTATTTCTTCCTGAGTCAATCTTGGTAGGTTGTATGTTTTCAGGAATTTATCCGTTTCCTCCAGTTTCCAGTTTGTTAGTGTATAGTTGTTTACAATAGTCTCTGATGATCTTTTGTACTTCTGTGGTATTAATTGTAATATCTACTTTTTCACTTTTGATTATGTTTGAGTGGCCTTATCTCTTCTTTCCTTGGTTAGTTTAGCTAGCAGTTGATCAATTTTATCTTTAAAAAAACTTTTTCATTTTGTTCATCTTTTGTGTTGCTTTTTTAGTCTCAATTTCATTTATTTCTTCTTTGATCTTTATTATTTGTCATCTTCTACTAATTTTGAGTTTGGTTTGTCCTTGCTTTACTAGTTCCTTGAAGTGCATCATTAGATTATTTGAAATCTTTCTGTTTTTTTGATGCAGGAATTTATTGCTATAAACACCCTTCTTAACACTGCTTTTGCTCTGTCTCTCAGGTTTCAGTATATTGTGCTTTCATTTTCATTTGTTTCAAAACTTTTTTTTTTAATTTCCATTTTAACCTCTTCATTGACCCAGTGGTTGTTCAGAAACATGTTGTTTAATTTCCATGTATTTTTATAGTTTTCAAAGTTCCTCTTGGTATTGATTTCCAGTTGTGTTTCATTATAGTCTGAGAAGATACTTGGTGTGATTTTGATTTTAAAAATTTGTTGAGACTTATTTTTTGCCTAGCATATGATCTAACCTGGAGAATATTCCATGTGCTAATGAGAAGAATGTGCATCCTATTGTTGTGTTGGGAAAAATATTCTGTGAATATCTTTAATGTCCATTTGGTCTAAAGTCCAAGTTAAATACAATGTCTCTTTGTTGATATTCTATCTAAATAATATGTCTTATGCTAAGGGACGAGTGTTGAAGTTCTCCACTATTAATGTATTGGAGTCTATATTTCTATTTAGATCTAGTAGTATTTGTTTTGTGAATCTGGGTGCTCCCTGTTGGGTGCATATATATTTAGAATTATAATATCCTCTTCCTGGATTGATTCCTTTGTCATTATTTAATGTTCTTGCCTTTTTTTAAAACCTTTTTTGACTTAAAGTCTGTTTTATCCAATAGAAGGATAGTTACTCCTACTTGCTTTTGATTTCAATTTGTGTGGAGTATGTTTTTCCATCTCTTTACTCTCAGTCTGTGTCTTTACAGGTAAGGTGCATTTCTTATAGGCAGCATACAATTAGATTATGTTTGTAAAAAATGTATTAAACCAGTCTATATCTTTTAAGTGAAGAATTTATTCTGTTTACATTTACATTATTATTGATATGTGAAGTTTTGTTCCTGTCATATTGTTAATTGTTTTCTGGTTTGTATTAGTCCATTTTCACACTGCTATAAAGAAACACCTGAGACTGGGAAATTTATAAAGAAAAGAGGTTTAATTGACTCACAGTTCTGCGTGGCTGGGAGGCCTCAGGAAACTTAACAATCATGGCAAAAGGTGAAGAAGAAGCAAGGGCCTTCTTTACAAGGCAGCAGGAAAGAGAGAGCAAAGGGTGAACTTCCAAAGACTTATAATACCATCAGATGTCATGAGAACTCACTCATTATCACCAGAAGAGCATGGGGAAACCACCCCCATGATTCAGTCACCTCCCTCCCTCAACACGTGGCCCTTCCTTGACACATAGAGATTACAATTTGAGATGAGATTTGGGTAGGAACACAGAGCCAAACCATATCATGGTTGTTTTGTGTATTCTTGTCTTCTTTTCCTCTTGTTGTTTGTCCCTGTGGTTTGCTAATTTTCTGTTGTGGTACCATTTGAGTCTTTTCTTTTCCTCTTTTGTGTCTTTGCTTTACCCATGAGTTTTATACTTTCGTATGTTTTCATGATAATAACTATCATCTTTCCTCTTCCAGGTTTAGAACTCCCTTGAACATTTTTTGTAAGCCTAGTCTATTGATAATGAATGTTCTTACCATTTGCTTGTCTGTAAAAGACCTTATTTCTTCTTCATGTATGAAGGATAATTTTGCTGGATATAGTATCTTTGGGTTTTTCAAGTGTCAAGTTTTTTTTCTTGCAGCAATTTGAATATATCATTCCATTCTCTCTTGGCCTGTAGGTTTCTGCTGAGAAATCCACTTTTAGTCTGCTCAAGGCTGACTAGATGATTTTTCTGTTTCTTTTAGAATTTTTTCTTTATCTTTGACTTTAGACAGTTTGACTGTAATGTACCATGGAAAAGTATTTTGGGTTTGTGGGGTCTTCTCGATCTGGATGTCTAAATCTCTTGGTAGACTTGTGAAGATTTCAAGTTAAATTTTGTTAAATAAGTTTTTGAACCCTTTCATTCACTTTTCTCCTTTAGGGATACCAATAATTCATGTATTTGGTCACTTTATCATGTCACACATATCACAGAGACTTTGTTTTTTTTCTTTTTCATTACTTTTTCTTTGTTTTTCTCCAAGTTATATCAAAAGACATGTCTTCAGGTTCTGAGATTCTTTTGTGTTGTTGTTTTAGTTTATTGTTTAAACACTTGATTGTACTTTTTATTTAATTAAAGAAGTTCTTCAAATCCAGATTTTGTTTGGTTCTTTTGTATGATACGTATCTCTGATAAATTTCTCATTCATATCTTAAATTGTTTTTTTCTGACTTTTTGTATTATTTTTTGAAATTCTCTTGTATCTAACTGTGTTTCTTTAGTGTCATAATTTGATTTTTTTCCCTGTGATGTCACACATTTCTTTTTGATTGGAATATATTGCTGGGGAATTATTGTATTCCTTTGGAAGTATCATCTTTCCCTGTTTTTTTTTCATGTTTCCTTACGTTGATAACTGTGTAAACTGTGTATCTCATGTAATATTCACTTATTCCAATTTTTTGAATTTGCTTTCACAGTGGAGGATTTTTTCCTGAAAATGTATCATAGTGTTGGTTAGTAGAGCCCTTTGTATTTGGTTCTGAGTACATGCAATAGTGCAGTCCCTGTATGATTTCTTTGGCTGTAAACAGCATCAGTGGTATCTATGATTTCCCAGTGGTTTAGAGTGTGGTTAAGAGTGGAGGCTACGGTGAAGTTTTGCTTGAGGACAGGGATTCCAGATGGGTTAGTCTTTGGTCCCCAGTGGTGGCAACAGTGGGATGAGTATGCCTGTTCTTGTACCCCAGCATACAAGATACTTGCTCTGGTATTAGCAGGACCAGGCGGGCCAATTCTTGCGCCTCTAGGTAGTTTGCTTAGATCCTGATAGTGACAGTGGTGGACCAGGCAGGTGAGGGAGTTCTTGGTTCCCTGGGTAGGTGGCATGGTGTAGGTAGTGGCAGTAGCAGTTGTGGGACAACCTTCTGGGTCCTGAGCAGTGCATGCTGATGTTGGAGATGGCTACAATGCAGTCTTCACCTACAGCCCCAGTCATGCAGCTCAAGCTTGCCTGTTCTCAGTTGTAGCAGCACTGTAGTGGTACACATAAAGGTAAGGAGCCCTGCCCTTTGCACATGAGCTTGATCATGGTAGTCATTCTGCCAGTGGGAGTGTGGTCACTATCCAGGCCCAGACAAGGTGCCATCTGGTTCACCTGCCCTAGCCTCCAGTGGCAGCAGCAGTGGCTGGGCCTGCAGAGGTATGGAGAGGGGGAGAGAGAATCCCTATGCATGAGCCTGAACACAGAGGCCACTCCACCAGTGGAAGTGGGGTCACTGCCCTCAGCCCCAGATAGCTGGCTCTCATTTGGGTTCCCAGTGGCAGCAATTGCTGCTGCAGTGTTGGGTCGGGGGTGTGAATGGGATCTCTCTCTCTGCTTGCAAGCCTGATCACAGAATTTGTGCTACTGCTGAGGCAGTGTTTCTTCTCATAGCCTCAGACAGGAAGCTCTCAGGCTCTGGAAAGTGTGTGCCTTGGTTTCCTTTGTCCCAGGGACTGCCATGTTAATGCGCTGCACCATCTCTTTTCTGGAAAGTAATACTACTTGGGGGCCACAGTACTGGGCCGCCGTAGCACCTTTGTGTCCAGCAATGCTGTGCCACTGTAGGCTGCTGGGTAGACACTGGGGAATGTCAGTTGGGGCTCCTGGGATATGGAGATATGCAGGCTATCTTTCTAAAGGGAGGATGCAGCCCCATGATGGCTGTACTCTCACATGGTACACTGCTGTAGTTGCTTAGGTCTCAGGGGTGTGAGTGAACCAGCATAAGTTCTGTGTCTGGTGCAATGTCCTTCAGGGGTCTCTAGCTCACTGTCCACGTTAGTGTCAGGAAATATGTGGGTAGACGAGCTCTGCCATGGTTCAGATTGCCGCAGTCCATGGTAGGGACATAGACCACTGAAGTTCTTACACACTTTCCCCCAATAGCAAGCCCCTATGTGTTCCCAGCCGATTTTGCTTCCCTTCTGTATTAGTTCATTCTCACACTGTTATAAAGAAGTACCTGAGACTGGGTAATTTATGAAGAAAAGGGGTTTAATATTCTCACAGTTCCACAGGCTTAACAGGAAGCATGACTGGGAGGCCTCAGGGAGCTTATAATCATGGTGGAAAGTGAAGGAGAAGCAAGCATATCTTCACATGTTAGAGAAGGAGAGAGAGAGTGAAAGGGGAAGTGCCGCACACAACATACAACCAGAATTCACTATCACAAGAAGTGCAAGGGAGAAGTCCACCTCCGTGATCCAGTCACCTCTCACTGGGCCCCTCCCCCGACATGTGAGATTATAGTTCGAGATGAGGTTTGGGTGGGAACACAGAGCCAAACCATATCACCTTCTGTGTCTCAGGTATTTCCCATAACTTCTCTGTTGGACTCCAGTGTTCTCTCCTAGTTGTTCCATCTGAGGCATGATTATTGCTTCATAATTTTGATTCTTCTTTCTGGAGAGAATGAGTATGCAGTGTCTCTAGTCAGCTGTCTTCAACTGGAATCCCAAGATGTACTATTTTTAAAGCTTGCTCTTTATTATTCTAGCTAATATAACTATCTGTTGGAAATAAGCATGCTCTATAAGTACTTTGAATCCAGGCAAGAAACCATTTTAATTGTCCTCCTTGCCTTTGTAGGGTTTTCATTACATATCTGAAAGACTATTGGAAACCTCCCTTTTGTTCTTTTCTTTTTGACAGAATGCTTTATTAAAGGGTATTATCAAAGATGCATCACCCGCTCTATATGCAGTTTTGTTTCCCCTTTGGAGAAGTAACTCAGGGTTGAATAGATCCAGAAACATATGATCCCCGAATATATTTTCTTTTATATTTTGTTTACATTCTTTCCTTTCAATCTAGCTCTAAGTGTACAATATTCTTAATGATTGACTTCTGCTTACTGAAGTATAGAGAATAACATATAAGCAGCAACAGTTTTATATGTATTAGATAGAAACATATGCAGTGATCGTCAAGATTCTATGCAAGAACCAAAAACATATAACTATTAAAATACAACACATGATAAATATTATCCAGCCTTCAATTTTACAGCCAGATAAAAGTATCAGAAAAAAAGAGAAGAAGAGATGGAAATAGAAAGAGAGAAGAAGGAGGTAAAGGTCGAATGAAGGAAATGTGGGAGAGCTGAGAAAGAGAAACTGACAAGCAGAAATTAAATGTAGGAGGCAAAGCTTGAGTTGTCAAACAACAAAGAGAATATGTACACAAATAATACATGAAGAACAATACATAGAAAGTCCAGTATACAATATGGAAAGGTAGATTTGTCAATAAAAATTTGGCCTTCAAGAATATTAAGATGCAAGCTTTTAAAATCATTTTTCAAGTATAGCTATAACTAAAGATAGTCTCTGGGTCAGGTGAAATCCATGACCAAATTGAGATATAAATACAAATGTTATTCATGCTGACATGCTTGTCATGTATTTTCTGTTTTGTCCCCTATTACATTTTTGAATATTATATTTTTTTTCAGTATTTATCTCTAGTCCTTGAAAAATATTAAATTATCCTCCTTCTGATTAGTTATTCACTCATTGTCTATATCTATGAGAGTAGTTTCCTTTAATTCTGTCATCTAGAGTATTTCAGTATTCTTTTAAATATTTTTTTCACATTTAACTTCGGTCTCTTAGAGAAACACAGTACTACAACAAAGTTGTTGCCTTATAAACATGTTATTTTTACATACTTCATAAGTCTACAAATGGTGTATGTTTATACTTTATGAATACATTTATAAATATTAATGATGCATTCTCAAAATTTATTAGTAATGATAGAGGTTTGTAATAAAAAATATTTGGAAATCACTGCCATAGTAGAAAGCTCATGGCTTTTGGAGCAATACATACATTCCTGGGTTCAAATTCCAGTAATGTTACTTATTTACTTTATAGTCTTGGATGATGCACTGAGATTTCATTAGATTTATCTTTTTAATTTTATTTTATTTTTACATGTATATCATTACATGATACCCTGCATTGCTGTTAAGAGGATTTTGAGATACACACACACACACACACACACACACACACACACACACTGGATACTGACAGCTATTGCTGTTATTTGGGTCTTCTCCACAATTTAGAAACTTGTATTCCATTTCTATAGTTAATGTGTTTTTTATAATTTTCTGTAAAATGTTGCAGATTATATATTTTTTCAGACATTCCATTTTATGTAGTCTGTGTAAAACAAACTATATTTTTACTAATCTTACAGAAGTAAGATTTTGCATTGCTTATTTAATAATGACCCTGTGAGAGGTCTTTTTTCATGAGGGAATAGGGAGCTTAGCACAGCATGCTATGCAGAAGTAGGATAGTTCTCAACACTATCTAATGCAATGGTTCTCAAACTGTTTTGACAGAGATGCTTAGAAATAAATACCTTTTGCATTGCAATTCGGATAACATAATATACACTCATTTATATACTGAAACAAGGAATTGTACAGTAAAATATATTTTTTCTTCTCTTTTATTTTATTTAAAAATCTCCTCTCAATTGATTTCATGACTCACTTAAGGGGCATGACTTGAAATTTGAAAAACACTGTTCTAAAGGGCATAGAACAAAATAACATTTAGTGTTGGTCATTATATGTAGTGTAGAGATGATTTATAAAAGTTTTTTGGCTGAACTAGCATTTCAATCTTGATATAAATGTTTTAATGTTATTTAAAAACCACATAATATTGAGTGAGTTTAAAATTGTTTTCTCAAAAGAAAATGTAATAATATAATGGTTGATTTTTCTTATGGTTTTTAAACATTTATTGATGCAACACAAAAATGTATTTTTCTTTTCTCTTTTGACAGATTGGCTATTTGGTCTTCTTACGACTTTTTATATTTTTCCTGCATGGTCATCTAGAAAGTTTTAAACAACATTTACTTAGGCTTCAACCATATTTATACGGTAGAATATCTTTTATTTTTACACTTATAAATGTTTTATGTTATATTTTGATAAGCTCAGACTGTCACTATAAAGAACGTAAGCTGCATTTTATTTTTCATAAAAGATAATAGGTGCAGTGTTGAAGAGCACAGCTTCAGGGCCAGATTGCATTTGTTCAGCTCACTGCCCCTCCAACCCCCATACTTTTGTTATTTCTTTGTGGTGAGAACATTTAAAATCTGACTCTACTTTTTTTTCCGGCAATTTTGAAAAATGCAATACATTATTATTAACTATAGTTATCATGTTGTGAAATAGATCACTAGACCTTATTCCTTCTGTCTAACTGAATTTTTGCACTCTGATATCTCCCCCTTCCCCATCCGTTCTCACGACCTACTCCCTGTTCCAGATGCTGGTAATCCTCATTCTGTATTCTGCTTTTTCACTTTGCCACTTAAGTTTATGAGCTTTTTTGTGACTCAGTTTTCTTATTTGTAATAGTATCTACCTCCCTGAATTTCAGGAAAGTTAAATTCATATTTTAGTAAGGTTCTGGACTTGGTGATCCACTGAATCTAAGCTATATGTAAAGAAGAGTGAGAAATTCAAGCGGGAGCTGAAGTTTTGCATGTTGAGTAATAGAATTAAGATAATGATGTTCTGAACTAGGAAAAATTTGGAGAAATATTGGGCATATTGAATTTGAAGGTCACTCAGGTATATATACCCAGCAAGCAGTTGAAAACAGGTTTGGAACTAGGGAAATAAGTGAAGCCTGCCTGGGATATAGAATTGACAGTCATCCATGTTAATGTGGCCGAGGGCGAGGGGCAGGGAGAAACTAATTCCAGGAATGAAATCTTGGGGAACATACATTTAATGGATTATTGGTGTAACAGGGCCCAGGAAAAGGGAAATAAGGGAGGTAAGAGGAAGTGATTATGTTTAAGGAGAGAAATTCAAGATCAACATTGTCATAGAAGTATTAAATAGTAGAAGGTCTGAAAAATGATGAGTTTCTACAATCAGAAAATCACTGCTGATCTTGGGAGCATACCCAGTGGAGAGGTGGAAGCGGAATTCAGATTGGAGGTAAACAAACAGCGAGGGAAAATTTAAGCATAAGGCAAAAATTGTGAACTATTTCAAAAAAAGCTTAGCTATAAATATTTATGCTGATATGTAAATATGTCAATAGTTTATTTAGATGGATAAAATAAAGTCAAAATATTAATATGTTGTAGGATAAGGGAAGGAGAGGCTCAAGATAAAGAAAGGGAATTATATTTGATGAAAAAAGTCATGGAGGTGGGAACAGAAGGTAATAGCAGAAGTGTTATGGAGACTAATCAATTAGTACCATTAGCATAAGTCCTAATCAGATGTGGCCGTAGACTGATAGAATAGGAATTCTTGTCTAACATTTCACTTGTTTTTATATCTTCATTAAATTATAGAACTACTTCTTAACTCCTCACAGTGTTCAGCATAGTGACTTACCAAATATTCAGATGATTATGGCAGATCAACTTTGAAAAATTATTTGAGTAAAAAGCTCAAGTTCTCATATTAGATTGTTATTGAGGATATACCCTCCTCAAAAAAAAAATCTTTCTTTCACATACAAGAATAAAATCCCCAAATTGTGCCCTCTTACCAAATATAATAGAGCCTTAGGTTGCAGCTCTACCTTTAACAATAGGCTGTTTTCTACCTGAAGCTATCAGCGGCTGCTACCTCTCCACATAGCTGTCCAGTAGAATGGTCATTATTAATTTTTCCATTATGTGGATGGACTAAAACCCAAAGTTTGTCTAAAAGTTTATACAAAGAGCAGCACTGAGATGATTCTGTTAAATATAATGTGGTGTTATGTTAAATTATCTTATTGTTGTAAATAATAACATCTTGTTTTTATTATTTACAACATATTGTTGTAAATAATAACATCTTGAGAAGGAATAAAACTGGAGAATGTTTGTCTAGAATCAATGACATTGATTTCTTTGTAGAATTACAATGTCAAAGTATCCATTATGAATACAGCATCTATTATAGCTTGATTTATTTTCATCTGGAAGTTTCCAAGCATTGTTGAACAGTAACTATATTTAATTGGGCATTCAATGATTATGAAATTGCTGTCCTGAATTATATAAACTCTTACGTATAAATTATTTACCGTCTAGTATTCTATTATACCACCAGGGGGCATACATAACATTATAAATCTTAAATAGGAAACTAGCAGTTTCTGCATCTAAGTACTGAATTTAATTATAGTTTAATAGCTAAAAGACAAATGAAACACAGTGCAAAATATTAATAAATTATTTCTCACAGATGATTTTTCTTACAATAGCACTTTCTTTCTCTGGAGCATCATATCACAAGTATCCAAACATCTTTTCAAATGTGCAATTCATCCTGAAAGCCTCGGAAATTATAGGTAAAAGAGAACTCCGTTCTGAATCCATTTTTAGACCTGTGGAAGATAAGAAAAGATATGAGAACACAGATTCTGATATGGTGAGTAATCTGGTATGGTGGGTATATCCTGTTGCCTGATGCATCAGATATCATTACTATGATTAAGTAATGGTGCTTATCAATACAGTAGACATTGAGGAATGATGAGTTTAGCTGTGGAGGAGGGGTGAACAGCAAAGATACGAATTTCATGCAACCATATGCACAGTTCCTGGAGAGTAGTTAATAGGATGAGTAGGAGGTATCAATATATAACTCTACTACTTTAAATGGGGTAATGCCATAATACCTTCTTCTTTCCTCACATATTTTCCAAAAAAGACCAGTAAGCATTTCAAAAACTTCTTTTATTTTTTTGTTAAACTTATTTATTATTTTACAGTTTATAAATAGAAAATTTGTTTTTCTTAACAACTTCTAAAAAAGGAAAAATACGTTTAACATTATGCGAGTTGAAACACCTAAGGAAATTTGAGGAAGAGTCTGTTTTTAGATAATGTTATGTGTTACCTTATAATTTTCCCATGCTTCCTATAAGCCCTTTCTAAAATTGGCTATAAATTAAATATATAAGAAAAAAATTCCAACACATCTATTTGTAACCTTTCTGGGCCTAAGTGTTTTCTCTTTGGCAAATTACTAGTTCACCATTTATATAACAAGTGACATTTACTGAGTAAATTGAGCCTTCTGGTTATAATTACTAATGAGCACAAATTACCTCATGTGAGAAAGGGATCTGTTTTTAAGTATAAAAAATGTTTTAGCAGTAAATAGATAATGAAAGATATCGAGCAACAGAAAGAGCACTGATCATGAAGAGAACAGACATGCTTATGAACTGGTTCTGTGATCTACGAGAGGCCCACCAATCTCGCCAAACTTCCATTTGCATATCTTTAAAAAGTCGTCATTATTGTCATAGTCATCATCATCATCATCACCATCATCAGTCTGCCCTAACTCTTTTACAGGGTTGTTATAAAGATTGCAGAAAAAAAAACCAGCATGTGCTTTATAAAATTATTAAATGCCATGCAAACATGAATAATAATTACTGAAAATATATATTTAGGACCTCACTTTACCCTAAACAGTGACCTATAATATTTTCATCTAAGGATATAAGTATGTTGGCTTACTGTTGTGATTGGAATGTTCTTCCTTTAAACAAATAGGATTCCATGAAATCTTGGCAATGTGAATAGTCTGGTTGTGAGGTAGGCAACTGTCAATGTTGATTCTGATTCTCTTTAAGAATGAATCCATTTTGTCACTCTTGGTGCACACACACACAGCAAGCAAATGGAAGCTTACTGCTGTACAGCTCAGCCTGAATTAGAAGGGGCAAAAATGTCAATACATGAAAGGGACATATCAGCTTACAGTGGGACAAGTCACTAAATCTCTCTGTGCCTTTTTCCACTTTGTAGAACAAAGCTTAGATTCAATCTCTTCTAAATTCTATTTCAGCTTTATCTATGTGATCCTGTAAGGGGATTATAACAGAGTTTGACCTATCAGGTTTATTGACCTTCTTTTTCTCCTCCTCTTATCTCGTAATATAAAGACTATAAATATAGGATAGCATAGCCACAGTGCTGCTAAAATTACTGATTTGGCTAATCAGCACTCAGTCAGTGCTGGACTGCATATCTTAAAGTTCCCCAGTTTCAGCCCAGTTTCTCCAGTACAGCTAGCTTTTCCAGGTCAGTTGACTATTTACTCATTCAATACCCATCTCTCTCACCTGGGAAAGGAAAGAGGAAAAAAGACATAAAAGTGATAGAAATGGAAATAGATACATTTGCATCAATCTCATCTCCTTTCCTTATGATTGTTTTAGTATATTATAGCAGAGGATTTGTGAATTTATTCCTGTAGCCCTTATCATTTGATAAAGCTAAAAGGTCCATAGCACTATACTTTGGCCACTTGAAAGTATTTGATTTTTAGTGTTCCTATATGCATTGAAATAAAGGCATAATTACTTAATTTGTTGTCAAAGTGCTACCAAAATTGCATTGAAAGTTTTATAGGATATTACGATACATTAGGATACATGCCATATGAGCATGGGTTCCACTTAAGAATAGGAAATTTCCTTTCGTCTGCTGTTGGACCCCATTTCTCTTTTTAATGTCTTTTTAAGTGATCCAGACACAGGGTTTCCATTGACTTTGACAAATGGTACACTTAATTAGCTCTTTGGATAGCAGAGCCAGAACGCTGGATTGAGTTTTCCACTCTGTCCTTTGCTCACTAGCAAAGCTAAATTTTCTTTTTATTTATTTATTTATTTATTTATTTATTATTATACTTTAAGTTTTAGGGTACATGTGCACAATGTGCAGGTTAGTTACATATGTATACATGTGCCATGCTGGTGTGCTGCACCCACTAACTCGTCATCTAGCATTAGGTATATCTCCCAATGCTATCCCTCCCCCCTCCCCACACCCCACAACATTCCCCAGAGTGTGATGTTCCCCTTCCTGTGTCCATGTGTTCTCATTGTTCAACCATTGTGGAAGTCAGTGTGGCAATTCCTCAGGGATCTAGAACTAGAAATACCATTTGACCCAGCCATCCCATTACTGGGTATATACCCAAAGGACTGTAAATCATGCTGCTATAAAGACACATGCACACGTATGTTTATTGCGGCATTATTCACGATAGCAAAGACTTGGAACCAACCCAAATGTCCAACAATGATAGACTGGATTAAGAAAATGTGGCACATATACACCATGGAATACTATGCAGCCATAAAAAATGATGAGTTCATGTCCTTTGTAGGGACATGGATGAAATTGGAAATCATCATTCTCAGTAAACTATCGCAAGAACAAAAGCTAAATTTTCTAAGCACAGTTGTCACTTGGTAGTAATAATAGTTCTTTGGAGAAGGTAGATTTAAACCCTGCTACAATGCAGTGGACCTTTTATTAAATAGTTTCATCTGTTCTGAAGTACAAATAGTTCTCTGAAAACTAGCAAAGACAGAGTTTACATTCTAGTATGATTAGCAATCTCATTCTGTAATACTTTTTGATAAGCCAAAGGCATTACCTAAGTTTGGGACATTTTGTGCTGTCCTGTAATTGTAAATGGTTACTAGGAATTATTAGAATGAGACATAAACTCCTTAAAATTAGGAGCATTATCCTATGATTCACGTCAAATTATCCAGGTAACACTTTGTATTGGGAGATCCTTTCATGGCAATGTCAATCATCCCCCAAAATGACTGAAAACTACATGAAACCCAGAAAGCTGTCCCTGAGCAGCCAAAATAGAGCCCATGCTTCAAAGCTCATTTCTATTATAAAAGAGAGCCTAGTCAGACACTCATAATTTATGTACTTAAATTTGCATAAAATCTAAACTGGTGTTGTTATCTGAATTTTCAGCCAACTGTAGATTAACAACACTTTTGTAGGTGGGCTTCTCAAAGTAGGCATTGTTCCAGCTACAAATGATAGCCCAAAGCTGGACAGCAAGGGAGGGAGACGAAAGAACTGTGGGAAGTGGTTATAAAAGCCAAAAAAGAAAGGAAGGAAGGGAAGTAAGGAGGGAGAGAACAAAGAGAGGGAGGGAAGGAGAGAAAGAAGGAAGAAAGGGAGGGGAAAAAAGTTCTCTGGGTGTCATTTAAGGCAGTGCTCAGTGCTTTTCAAACTATCTGTGGTAAAAGATCTCTCCTAATTTATTTTTAAATTTCCAAACCATTACAGATGGATAATTTTGTAAAATATAATAATAATGACGACAAATTACTGAAAACTAAAATAGAAAAGACCAAAAAACACAAGCTTTAATTTTTAATAGACTGAATATATATAATTATTTTTCAAATTGTTATGAAAGTGTCTAAATACGTATTTTTCATTTTTTGTGCTCTAATTAACAGTTTGCAAATGGCAGTTATCTGCCAACCACACCTTGAGCAGGACTGATTTAGGGTAAAGGCACAGAACTCAAGAGTAAGCAACATTGCTCACTCTTGGTCTTCTGCACTGATGATATATGTGATGATTGTATTAAATCACATAGTCATCATCATTACATTAATTCATTGAAGTTTGATAAATTTATTTTTTATTTTTTGAAAAAATGTTTCTTGCTGAAGATTGCTTGATGGGCCGGGCATGGTGGCTCATGCCTGTAATCCCAGCACTTTGGGAGGCAGAGGCGGGTGCATCACTTGAGGTCAGGAGTTCGAGACCAGACTGACCAAAATGGTGAAACCCTGTCTGTACTAAAAATATAAAAATTACCGAGGTGTGGTGGCAGGCACCTGTAATCCCAGCTACTTGGCAGGCTGAGACAGGAGAATTGCCTGAACCCAGGAGGCGGAGGTTGCAGTGAGCCAAGATCACGCCATCACACTCCAGCCTGGGTAACAGAACAAGACTCTGTCTCAAAAAAAAAAAAAAAAAAAAAAGCGCTTGAAATACATAAAATTCCTGAGACTAACTAATAAGCCCTACCTATCTGGAAAATTCGCAGGTGTGGCAGGTTCCTTTCCTCTTGATGATGTCAATGTTCTACTGCCAAAGGCCACTAGGAGCACATCTGCAATTAGACATATTGGGTTTATTACTTGTTGCCGAGAGAGGGAGAGAGAGAGAGAGAGAGAGGAGGAGAGAGAGAGAGGAGAGAGGAGAGAGAGAGAGAGAGAGAGAGAGAGAGAGAGAGAGAGAGAGAGAGAGAGAGAGAGAGAGATATGAGAGACATACCACAAGGAACTATGGGATGTCTTAATAAGAGAGTGTTAGAAGGAATCTACTAGAGGATTTGGACTTTATTTGGATGATCTTGGGAAGAGTCTAAGGAAGTAAGGGTTCTCTCTAGAGGTTTGATGCTGTCAAAAAGTTGGGGCAATTCTGTGATTATGTATTTTGTGGGTGGCAGAGTGACTTTGTTTATATCTGTGCTTAGAAACAAATTGTCAAGTGGCTTTGTTTATTTCTTATGGTCTCAGAGTAATATTGTCCAAAATTGCTATCTTGTGAGTTTATGTCCAATAGGAGATCAAAATAACCTGGCTGTGTCAGACCAGCTTGTAATAGTATGTCAAATCAATCCCAGACATGAGAGGATGCTTTTTATTTCTCCACGATGTGTAAAATTGGCATAATATAAAATTGAAGATAAAACTCAAATCTTGTTCGTTGTCTAAATCCTGATTTTTTTCTTTACCAAATGCTTTCTGAATTTTCTCTGATGATGGTACATAAATACATTAATGCAAGAATGGTTGACCTAATTGAATAGTTTATGTAGTCCTGCAATATCTATGATTAAAATAATATTTATTATAAATTAACCATTCGAGTCACTCCGAAGTTTTTTTTTATTCTTGTTTTATTTTTATTTTTTTAATATTATGCTTTAAGTTCTAGGGTACATGTGCACAACATGCAGGTTTGTTACATATGTATACATGTGCCATCTTGGTGTGCTGCACCCATTAACTTGTCAAACATATTTATTTACCTATTTATTCAAAATAAGTTTGCAATCTGAGGATTGTCAGGCATCCAGGCTGAGACAACTAGAGCAATTTGAGAAAAGAATTTCATTTATATGGGTTCCAGTTTTGGGGTAGACCCTACCATAAAGCAGAAAATTGAGTTATATGTGGACTTACTGAAGTCAGTATGTCTCAGACTAATGCTTTACATTATTTTAGAATAGTGCTTTTCTGTGGTGTGTTCTAACACTGTCAACACTGAATTGTTTTCATTTGCTTTTCTGAATTATTGTTCCCCAGAATCAGTAGCTTTGTACAGATGTTGTCTTCCTCATGTCTTTATCTCCAGAATCTTAACGGAATTCCTGACATAAAGTAGATAAATACACAACTATGGGACTTAACTAAACACTTTATTAGAAACTTAAAATATCTTAGCTTAAAATTTATGTATGAACTTCTTGCTTTCTATCTGAAAAGTACTCAACATAAAAATTATCTTGAAATTGTAGTCCTGATGTTGTTTTATATAATAAATAAGAATTATGAAGCCCTTTAGATTCTAAGTGTTTCATTTTAACATAAAAATCACAAAATATCAACTAAGTTAACAATTTGAGTACCTATCACAGGATGTGTATTTGAATCTTCACTGTTGGCAAAAATTCAGAGAGTGCTATGTCATCATTTTCTACCAATTACTTTAGTAGACCAATTAAATATATAAAACTGTTGGGAAGCACTCTAAGGAAAAACTAAACAACAGCTTATTTGTTATCTGAATTTTTAGGCTTTAAGAACAGTTACTTAACAGACATTGACGATGTCTTGCTAGGCATACATTTTGGTCCTTAAAGTAGAAATCCACATTTTAAAACATAATTTGCTGTTAGCATTTTGTTCAAACTTTCCCCATTCCTTCTTTCTCAAGTGTCAGGGAGAACTAAGTCACATAGAATCTACGAACCACAATTGTGTCTAATAGCTATCCCTTATGTGATCCAGAATTTTTGCTGTATTGTAGAGCTGATATCATTGAACACAAGAGACCCATGTGAAAAATACATACATTAGGTTCGGGTTAACTGTATGTACTTCAAAAATATGCTTATGTAAATTGCTCCACTTGGTGAAATATAAAGTGTAAGAGAATATGCATTTTCATTTGTATATTTAAAATTTATTTTCATGTTTGTTCAAGTCAGAGTACTCTTTCTCATATATTTTTATATTTTAATTCCTGAAACATTTGCAATTTAATCAGGGAGGATATGAAATTAACCACCTGCTCTGGCACTGTGTTGCTGCTTGGTCTTGTGTTCAGAATAACAGTCCTCAGTTGAATAACGTGCTTGAACATCTCGTCTTCCATAAGACACAGCTTCAAAAGAAATGCTGGTAAGAGTGATCCTATAAATCCAAAGTAACTCATGGAGAAATCTTTGTGCTTAAATGTTAAATAACCCTTGTACCTAAATGTTAATCACACCTCAGTTGACTATGAAACAAATTTATAATCTCAGTTCCAAAGGCAATGGCAATTTACATGTTTAGTATTAATTCATTTCATCAATACATCGTTTCTCTCTTTTTCTGCTTTGCTAGATGTGCACGCATACACTGCATAGTTTTTTTTTTATTAAATGCAGTTTTTTATTAACAAAAAGTTTATGCCTGCATTGCAAACAGCCTTTATATTCCAAGTTGTTAAACAAAAGCAGTGAAACACAATATATTGTTAGAGAAAATATACTGATACTGTATTTCTTTATGCCTTACTTGTAATGTATAACAAAAATGAATCTTAAAAAAAAATTTTTTTTGGTCTCACTCTGTCACCCAGGCTGGAATGCAGTGTTGCAGTGCCGTGATCTCCGCTTACTGCAACCTCCATCCCTGGGGCTCAAGTGATCCTCCCAGCTCAGCCTCCCAAGTAGCTGGCACCACAGGCATACACCACCACACTGGCTATTTTTGTAGGTGTTTTGTTTGTTTGTTTGTTTGTTTGTTTGTTTGTTGATTTTTTAGTAGAGACAGGGTCTTGCCATGTTGCCTAGCCTGGTCTCCGGTCTCCAACTTCTGAGTTCAAGTGATCTGCCTACCTCGGCCTCCCAAAGTTCTGGGATTACAGGAGTGAGCCACTGCTCCCAGCCAAAAATAAATCTTGACTGACAAATATTAGTTTCCTCCTGTACATATGTTAATTTAAGATGAGAAAAAGAAGAGTCATAGTTTCAGCATGAGTTCAGTGGAGGAAAGATTTTTTAAATTGACAGATAATAATTGTATATATTTATGGGGTATAATGATATGTTAGGATATATGTATATCTTGTGGAATGAGTAAGTCAAGCTTATTAACATATCCATCACCTCACATCCTTATCATTTTTTGGTGGTAAGAACAATTAAAATTTACTCTATTAGCAATTTCAAAATATATTTTTTTTACCATAGTCACAATGCTGCACAATAGATCACTAGAACTCATTCCTCCTGTCTAACTGAAACTTTGCACTCTTTGACTGGCATCTCCTCTTTTGCCCATCTTCCTTACTCCCCATCCCAAGCCTTATACCATTCTACTACCTAGTTCTGCAAGTTCGGCTTTTATAGATTCCACATAGAAGTGAGGTTATGCAGTATTTATTTTTCTGTACTATGCTTATTTCATTTAGCATAATGCCTCGATGTCCATTCATGTTTTTATGAATGACAGAACTTCCTTCTTCTTAAAGACAGGATAGTATTCCATTGTGTATACATACCACACTTTATTTATTCATCAGTCAGTGTGACACGTAGGTTGATTACACATCTTGGCTATTGTGAATAATGCTGCAATGAACGTAGTTCAGTTATCTCTTCAACATACTGATTTCACTTTTTTGGGATATGTACATAGAAGTGGGATTGTTAGATCATATGGTAGTTCTATTTTCAATTTTCAAGGAATCTCCATACTGTTATTACATCAATAATGTAAAAGGATTCCCTTTTCTGAACATCCTCATCAACATCTGTTATCTTTCATCTTTTTGATAATAGCCATTCTAACAGGTGTGAGGTGATAATGTCATTGTGGTTTTACTTTGCCTTTCCCTTATGATTAGTGATGTTGAGCACATTTTCATATGTCTGTTGGCCATTAGTATGTCTTCTTTTGAGAAATGTCTGTTTAGGTCCTTTACCCATTTTTTCATTGGGCTATTTGTTTTCTTGTTATTAAGTTGTTTCAGTTCCTTCTATATTTTATATATTAACTCTTTACCAAATGTATGGTTTTCACATATTTTCTTTAAATATATGGGTTAAAAATGTATGGTTTGCACATATTTTCTTTAAATATGTGGGTTGTCTCTTTACTTTGTTAATGTTTCATTTTATAATTAAAGTAGACTTTAATCCATTTTGAGTTAACTTTTCTATACAGTGTGAGAGAAGGGGCTAATTTAATTCTGCTTGTGGATGTTCAGTTCTCCCAATACCATGTATTGAAGAGATTATTCTTTCTCTATTGTGTATTCTTGGTAACTGTCAAAAATGAATTGACCATAAATGCATGGATTTACTTCTGGTCTTTCTATTCTGTCCATTTGGCAAATGTGTCTGTATGCAATTGCCGTGCTGTTTTGATTACTATAGCTTTGTAATACACTTTAAAATCCAGTTTTGCAATGTTTCCAGCTTTTTTTCTTTTTGCTCAGGATTGCTTTGGATATTCAGGGAATTTTGTGGTTTCATACAAATTTTAAATTTTTTGTCTGTTTTTGTGAAGAATAACATTAAAATTTTGATAGGAATTGCATTGAATCTGTAAATTACTTTGGGTAGTATGGACATTTTATCAATATTAATTTTTCCTATCCATGAACATGGAATATCTTCCCACTTAATTGCTTAGGCTTTATTTTTTTTATTTTTTGCTATTGTAAATGAGATTGTTTTCATAATATCTTCTTCAGATATTCTGTCATTAGTATATAGCAGTGCTATTGATTTTAATATGTTGATTTTATCACCTGAAAATTTCAATTTTACTGAATTCATTTAAAGTCTAACAGTCTTTTGGTTAGCTTTTATAAACATTTTAGGGTTTTCTATATATAAGATCATTTGGTCAGCAAACAAAGATAGTTTTATTGTTTCCGTTCCTGTTTAGATGACTTTTTTTTCTTTTTCTTGCCTAATTGCTCTGGCTAGGCCTTTTAGTATTATGTTACATAAAAGTGGTGAGAGTGAACATTCTTGTCTTGTTCCTGATTTTAGAGAGATGCTTTCAACTTTTCACCATTGAGGATAATGTCAGTTGTAGGCTTGCCATGTATGACCTTTTTTGTGTTGAGGAGTATTTCTGAGGAAACTGATCAGAGAGCACTCTTTTCCAATATTTAAAGAGGATCACAGTTTTGAATTATTTTTCAATGAATATAAAAATAATAATAACTTGTAATGCCATAACAAGTTGAAAATGCAATTGCCACATATATTTATTTAATTAGTTGCTGGTTTTCAGTCTCTGGCAGCCCATTCTACACCAAAGGCCTTTGTATATGTAAATTCTAAGTCCCTCAGAATCAACTGTAGACCCTTCTAAAAGTCTGCAACATTCTTTATGAACAAAAGTTATTTTCTAACTTGTATTTGGAAGTTTGTGGGATTCCAGATTAAGTAAAGAATTTTGGAGGATGGCTTAAAGTTTACCTAATTTCCCTAAAAACACTTTAGATTAGAGTTCATCAATAATTTGTTCTGTCTCACAGTGTGATGGGAGACACCTACTGAGTATTGCAGTTTGACAAAGATTGCAATATTTTTTACATTTTAAAAATAAAGAATAGTATTTATAAATATGAAACTAAAATGCAAATAGATATTTACTATAAATAGCACTTAATATAATTTTACTTAGTATATTTTAATACAGAGCTCCTAAAAACAAAATTTAGAGGTTCTCATTGGTGCAAATTAGGTTATTCTGGAAGTTGTGGTGATTCTTTCAGATAGAAAGTAAGTTGTAGGAGATTCAAATATTTAATTTCTTTTTCAAAATGACAAACAACTAGAACTACGTAAGCCCTTGGAAAACTCTAACTGGATTTAGAACATAACTGAAATTGTATTTTAACATCTAAAAATAAATATTGTGTGACTTGGTCAAATTTATTTAAAAAGTACTCTAATAATTACCAGATAAAAAGTATAAATGATTGCAGAAACAGTAAATGTAGCTGATTAAGAATATCGAATGGTGGAATTCAATTCTTTCTTTAACCGATTTTTAGATTTTGCTGTATTGCATCCACGTCTATTTAATTTAACTTACTAATGATTTGTGTTTAAGGTTGCAAACATTAATGAACCAGTTTTTTTAAATACTTAGTATTTTATAAATGTAGGGCATTAGAGACAATACAAAACTCTTCTTATTTTAAAAATAAAGAAACTGAGGCCAAGTTTATTAGGCTTATTGATGAGTGGAACCAGATTTTAAGAGTTTCGATATAGCACTCTCTCCAATGCATCATTCAACTGTCATTCTAGTTGCATTGTTAAGCAGATAACTGCTTTGAGACAGCCTGTCACTGAATCCTGACTTTTTCTGGGAGGATATTTTGGAAATTATCAAGTGAAGAAGGGGATAGCAGTGTTTAGACAATGCTCAATGAACAGAAGAGTAAAGTGAAAAATACAATGACTGCTCATAATAGAAAGGAAAACAATAATTGCTTTAAACAGTACTGCCAAATAGTTTTGATTCTGTTTTATATAGTTACTTTTTTTATTTTAAGGAAAAGATTTAATCTTTTTTTTAAAAAAGATTAGTTGGCTCTAGCAAACAAAAACTATTGACATTAAAAGAATAATTTGTGTTTTTAGGTTAGCAATTTGATTAACTATTCTGTTAATAATAACATTATACCAAATATTTTAAAATCAACTTTTCTCCTTACAAAATATTTATTTATATAAAGGCCTGTATAGGTTTCAAGAGGCCATAACTCCAGATAAACAATATACACTGTAATATAATTACCAAAATAAAACCAGAAATGATTTTATATTTCTAGAGAATCTTTAATATTGGTCTTATGTACTCCTAAGATACTACTGGGTACATGCAAAAAATTAAGAAAATGAACTGCATGTATTCAGAATGAAAAAGAAATATTGAGGCACCAGGCCCTGATGATGCATTAAGACTTCATCAGGATTTGCTGGACTAAATAGTCTTAAAATTGTGACACTTGGTGGAAGACACCTTTGGTTTAACACCTAAAGTTCAATGCCAGTGACCATTAGCAGGAGTAACTTTAGCAATTTCATTTGCCGTACATTTCAGGAAAGTAACATAATGTTGAACAAATGTTCCGAGATTTAAAAGCAAAGAGAGACCATTCAACTGAAATATCAGAAGAAATTTTATTTATAGTGGCAAAAATGGCTTGTGCTTGTGCCCATGAAATTGAAATGTACTCATATGCCCATTTCTGATGCTATTGGTCAGTAGATAATTCATCATGTATCTCCCTGCATGACTTCTAGTAACCCCTTTTATAAAGATCCTACAGTACAAAAAGAAACAAATAGAAGCAAATGGTTTCAGCTGAGCTTGGAAAACAGCAGGTTCAGGATCCACAAAAGGGCTCAAGGAAGGCAATCACAGAATTAGAGCAGCCTCGCTGGGGGACAGGGAAAAACTGGGGAAAGAATACACTGAAGACAATAAATTATAAAAGCCAATGAAGTAAAGAAAAAGGGACTGCAGGAGTCCCCTCCCAGCTGCCATGCATTGGCCTTTATCTGCCCATAGCTGGAGATAAGCAGCTTGCTGGAAGGCAGATTTCCACTTAACGCAGTTAAATTTTATATGATGCTTCATACTCTCAATGCTCCACCCTGTGGTTTGGCCTTTTATAAACGGCACTATTTGCTCTGGGGAGATAGCTCAAGTCAACGCAAAAGACTTTCTAATCTAACATGAAAATAATGAATTGTGTTTATAATTGAATTATTAGCCAATGAAGACTGCTGAGAAAGGCAGTATGGCATTTCATTCGAGCAGTATGACGTAAAATTATATCTTCCAACACAAAATAACTGATTTAATATGCTCCATAAGTGTATTCCAAAAAAAAGCTTGACAATTTAAAACTGTCTTGAACATGGCAAGTGTTTTCCAGACATACTGTTTGTGTTTGCATCGAAATGAATGAAACAAGGAATTAACTGTATGGGCGGCAAGGCACTTCCTTTTCAGCTAGATCACTGATATCCACATTATTTATATCCTTGATCCTACTAATTATGATGTCCATGTGATGGTCTAACCTAGAGCATTCCAACAAAAGTTTGCATCAGTACTCCTTCATTTCTTATGAACTGAAATGTCAATGTAGGTTTTCGTTGTTTGTTTATTTCCTTGATGCTTCTTGATTCATTTCTTGGATTTCTTATTGATCCTTTGATCCCTGGAGCCAATTATAACTTAGTCTGTATCAAGGGTAAATACCCACTATATATGCTGCTACATTATCATACAGCGAAAAAGCAATGCAACCTGAAACCAGAAGACATGAATTTTAGTCTTGTCTTTTGCTACCTGTGTAATTTTGAATGTTGCTTAACCCCTATGAACCCCAGGGTCTGTTTAGCAGTTATATCGAGATAACAGCAACCTCAAAGAGCTTTTGAAAAATTTAAATGAGATAAGTAATATGAAAAACATCTGTTAGACTGTAGATCTTCCCTGGATACTACATGTCCTGCCAGTTCATATTTGAACTAATTTTTCCCCCAGTCAGGCTCCTGCCTCTTGAATTTCTACCTCAGTACACGTCGTCGTGTCCTTTCCTCCAGCTAACCAAATCAGACATCTTATCTTCTCCATCTCACTTTCTCCATCCAATTCAGGATCTGACGGTGTTGTATGTACATTAATTACACTTCGAAACTGTTCCCCTGCTCTCTGTTCCCAATGTCATAACCTTGGTTTGGGCTCTTATTGTCTCTTGACGATTGTAGCTTTTTAACTTGTCTCCTTGCTTTGCGTTCGTCCCCTCAACAATCTGTCATACACTATGCTGCCAGGGCTATAGCATAACTGTGACTATAACACTCTTCAGCTTAAAATTATTCAGTAAGAACTGTTTTATGTGATACGGAAGCTGCAGCCCCAATCAGTGTCTCATAAATTGCCATTATATTGAAAAAAATAAAAACAAAAATGATGACTGAAAGATTCTGCTGGTAGGATTAATTACCACCAGCCAATCAACAGCCAGAAACGCCTGATAGGTCTGGGTGGAGGGAAACAGTTAGTGCCCCATCTCTGCCTTCCCTGATGAGAGGGCAGTCATTGCTTGTCTGAGGCTCCATCCCTTCACTCTCCCACACCAGCTTCCCTGGAACTCAAAGAATGAAGTCCTGTAAGCAGGAGAAAAAGCCTTTTAACAGACAGGCTAAAGCCTACATTTTTGTCATCCATCTTTTCTGAGTAACAAAAATCAGGCAATGGCAAGGTAAATTTATTCTTTAAAATAGTTTCCCTAAGCAGTAAAAATCAAGAATGAAATACTAACTGCCCTCTTCTCCATGTGCAGTAACAACTGAGACAAATTTATTTACACTAATTCTCCCCTTCCTAGTCTGTTAATATAATCTTGAGTTCTGATAACATTATAGTTAAGTAATTATTTCAGATGTTCTGTCTTCTCCTTAAATAATTATTTATATATCTGCATTTAATTATTTGGTCATATTTATAAAATTATTTTTGTTTATTAAAACTTACCTATTTTTCTTCTACTCACCTGCAGCCATTTAACACTAGGATTTTCCTTTCTTAAACTGTTCAATACTATTAATTTCTTTCTTAGCTTGAATAAATTTCTAAGTATGTTTTATGATTACTTAGGTAAGGCCAAGATTATATACGAACCTTGGCTGGCTATAACATTTATCACCATTTCTTTTTTCTCTAAAAAGTATGATGTACATTTTATCTGGTAATAGACTTCTATGATAACAGTGTTTATTTTTTGTTTAATTCCCCCTTCAAATTTCTAAATGTTGCTATGTTGTTTCCTAACACAGTTATGATGAGATGTTCGAAGTCGTCAGTCCTCTTGTTTTTATATGTTTAATTTTCAGTCCAGAATTTTTTAGGAACATCTTTGTGATTTAGTAGGCAGGAGTTAACTGGCACCCTTTCTTGTCCATGTTAGGAGCCTATTGAGGCAAATCCTGTGCTTTACCTAGAGAGAAACTTCACTTTGAGAAGCTCTGCACAAATACTATGGCTGCTGGTCTACATTTTTTCAAGGTCTTGTATTGACTACTCATAGTTCATATGTGTTCCCAACTTCTGCCTCTCTGTGCTTAGGGGTTTTTATTTATTTTTATTTTATTTTTTACATTATGGTGGGAAAACCCATGTATTTCTCATGAATACTTGCATTAAATTTTGGACTTTTTGTTATTAGAAATATTTTTCTTTAGTTGGGCCCCATTTACTTCATAACTATAAATTTTTCTCCCTCCCTTCACCCACCCACCTTCCTCCCTTCCTCCCTTCCTCCCTTCCTTCCTTTCTTTTTCCCTCCCTCCCTTCCTTCCTTCCTTCCTTGTTCCTTCCTTCTGTAATTAGATAGGAATAGGTATGCTTTCTGCATTTTCCTCTAAATTATGAAAGACTTTTCTCTGTTATTTCTGTAGTTAACTTCCTCAACTATGGATTTTAATTATATTTTTACATTTTAATTTCTTTGCAATCTCCTACCTTACTCTACTACCTTTCATCTCGGCATCAAGGCTTTTCTTTGTGGTTTATTATTCCTGGGCTTTATTAAAGATGCATAAATGTCTTGTAAAAATAACTTCTGGTTCCTGTAAGAAATCATTTTCAGAATTATGACCCTCTCTGAGTACTGAGACTGATACTCTCTTTAGCCTTTGCTGTAATCTATTTTCCTTAGTCTTATATAGTTCCCTCTTCTTCATTTTCCAGTTACTTATTCTAGAACCAGGAGAAATATATAAAAACTGTATTTTTAAATAAGAGGTTTGTGTTCACAGCATTCATAACAAAGTTGGTAAAAATTACAACACTCAATGTGTAAAATTATCAGGCAGCTTCCTGTGTTCTCCTTACTCTTGGATAGTTTACCTGTGAGGAAAAAATGCACTTCTGTATTCCAATTTTATCATCCCTCTTCCCACCTTCTCCCATCCCACATGCCTATAGACACTGTATACTACCCTTTTCATTACCAGGATGTTATCATCTCTGAAAAAATATGGAGAGATGAGAATGAACTCAAATAATACTCTCACTACTTAAAAAAAAAATCAGTACCTTAAGATAAAGGATTGGCTGCACTTTCTCTGATTCTATGCAAAATAGGGTAAACAGTAGAGATTATTATTTTTAAAAAAAGTTTTTTCTTTTACTTTTTTTGGGGAAAACAAGGCTGCTGTGTTTCAAGAAGTGGCATGTGGGTGCTCCTTATTGCTTTCAGCTTTATCAACTTTATGGTTTATGGAAATTCCCTTTAAGTTGCTATTATTAGTGATGTCTCTTTCTGTTTTCGGGATCATGTGGATTTTTGACATTGTCAATGCTTTCTGGAATATTTGTCGCAATGTTGAAATAAGTTGGCAAGGGTTGCTACTTAGAGACATTTTAATTCCATTTAAAAATTAAAATCCACTAATTGAGGAAATGGATATAGAGGAGTAAGAAGAACCTAGGAAAACTTTTAAATGCTGATGTTCCTAACTTCTATAAATGTGTGCATGTGTGTATGTATATATTGTTATTTTAGACAAGCCAGTAAAACTCTGGCTCAGTTTCTTTATTTACAAAATTAGAGCAAATCTATAATAGTTACATATTATTTTGTACAACTTTAATTTCATGGCAATGTAAAACCAAGTCAATATGCTGATACTTGAGACTTTCTGAATTATAATGAGTTCACAAAGAAGCTAGTGCTGTATGAAAATTTCTAGCCTAATCCAATTTGAATTCCTTTCTATGTGCATTGATTTTCAATTTTACTTTTGTTTTCGACAAACTCCAGTTTATAAGTATTGATGTTTCTGTTTTTGACGAAAGCATTTTCATTCACAGATAATTTTGTGATCAGCAGCATTAATTGAAAATAGTGTGTTGCTGGTGAAGCATTTCTCTACCGTAGGTGGCTAACACTGATGGATCTTTTTCAATCCATAGTTCAATGAGACTATCCTAGGTTAGCTACAATTTTCCAGACTTGAAAGAGAAAAGAAGAATCAAAACCTTCTGATTATGAAATATATTCAGGGGAAAAGAAGTTTTACGAACTCTATGAGTATCCTCTCTTTTAATTGACCGTAATATGAAGTATAAATGATAAGTAGTCTGGGGAATGACTTATTCTCCATCTTGGTGGTCATCTGGATAGACTTCTCCTTCCAGTCACTCTATGACTTTAATGAAGACATTATCAAACTCATATCTTTTTTATGTCAAAGAAATAGTATGTTTGGAATTCAATTTAGCATTCTGAACCTTGTCATTTTACATAGAGTATTTCATTCAAATCTCACAATAATCTCTAAAAAGTGAGTTTTGCTGTATTTTCTTTATAGACAAGTAAATTAAGACTGAGGTAGGGTACATAAATTGCCCTATAACATATGCCTAATTAGTGGCAGAGCTAAGATTTCATCTTGATGTTTCCAACTCTAAAGTTCATGTTCATAAGCATCATGTTAAGTGCATCAATTAGGATTTTGTCTTATTTGGCAGAAACCTGACTACAATTGCATAACCAAATAGCTTTCTTTATTGCACATGACAAGTAGTGCAGTGCTGATGTGAGTACTTAAGGAAATCTTCAAGGTCCAAGCTTCTTCTAGCTTCCTTTTCTGTCATGTATAGCAGGTGATTTTTATCCTCCTTGTTGAAAGAAGGCTGCTGTGCCTTATGGTATCATGGAATATATGCATTACAAGCAGGAGGAAGAGGATGCGCAAAGGAGAAAAATAACACCTGTTATTTAATTTTAAAATTTTTTCTTAACCAGAAAAATAATAGCTTACCTGGAAGTCTTCATAATATGCTTCCTTTTCTAGCTCATTAACCAATCTGCACTGTATGGCTATTCCAAGCTTCAAGGGAGTCTAGGCAGTCAATTTTAAATCAAACTTACTGAAATATAAATTAGATACAATGAACTTCATACATTAATGTACACAGGTCTATGACCTTGGGCAAATGTATACACTCATGTAATCACTACTCCAATCAAGATACAGAGAATTCCATCTTGAGGGGGCTAACTTAATTGAGCATATTGCCATTTTGAACAAAATTCATGTTCCATTAGAAAAGGAGACAAATAGTATTAGGTAGGCAATAGGCAGCACCTGCCACACTAAGGTTAAATATTGACATTTATGTAATGGTTTAGAAAAGCAGAATTGCAAGACAGAAAATACTTCTTGGTGGGAGAAAACTTGAGTTACAACTAATCTAGCTTAAAAAGGGAACTTGGACAAGTCCCTCTGACCTATTTATGTCTCAGTTTTCTAGTATGAAAAAAGGTCTTGAAAAATCTTAAATGTGTCAAAAATTGTTTTTCAAATCAAATGAAATAATTTATGTGAAAGCACATTGACCTCTGTAAAGCCCTATTTAATATGAAGAATTGTCTTTAATTTTCATAATAAGAATGGTCTGATTTAGAAAATGATGATGACCTTGAACTTATGGGCCTGAAATATCACAGTTGTGAAATTCAAATAATCTTGTAAAATATACTAACTTTTAAATTTATTAATGGTCTACAAATCAAGGCAATAAACAGCTATGACCAAAGTAATTTTTAATTTGTTCTCTTATTAGTTCTCTTTCAAACTATTTTTCATTTAGTAAAAGTATCACAAATATGTAATTTTCAAAACCTTCAAAATATATGTACATTTATAACTAACAAATTCTTGTATGATTTCCCAGTTTTTATAATATTAAAAAAAACTAGTCTTTCATTCATGTGAAATATAAATTTTATTTTGAGAAATTTTACTTTTTCCAAAATCAAAGAGTGTTGAATCTTTGGAGTATCTTAGAAGAAGGCCGTTTTTAAAAAATTGCTGTGTTTTGAGAAGAAAACACTCTCTTGAAATTCACCTTGTGGAATCAGTTGCAAGAGGTTAAACATTAAAACCTATTGTGAGTTTTTGGGGGTACTCTAGAACCAGAGCCCCTGATTGCTTGTTGTTCAGGATCTATGAAGAAATGTGATTATATGTGATATTTATTACTCAGATTCGTCAGAGCACTACTCTGAACTCAAACATATTACCAAAATGTGTCTCTTCTTTGCATATTTTTACCATAATGAGAAGCAATACTAATCTTTATTGAAAATAAATGTATCTGGTAATGCAGACATGCATTTCCTCTGACCTATTTCATTTTTTCACATTAAAAGTTGATTATTATTATTATTTTCCATTAAAATCTTTATCCTTTCGTCCATAAAATTTTCAGGTTGGATTCAGTACTGGCTTTACTGGTCCTTGGGGAGGCTGCCAAATTAAACATGGCCTGCTTGAAAGCTTTAATGGACGTAGTGAGAGATTTTGTTTCAAGCATTATGTCTGTTCAAAATCAGGTAACATTGCTAATTTATATGTGAAAAGAGAACCGAAGAGAAACAGATTTTATTTTTGCCACTATTTAAATTGTATATCGTATTAGCGCATATAGTATGCATAACTTTATAATAATAAATTTAATTAAATATAAAAGCAAATTCACAGTTACCATTTATCATAAACATTTTTCATTTTCATTACATAATATTAAAATTTATATTTTGGTTGGGGTAAGTTCATTTATTGAAACATTTCTGTATTGTTGGTTATTAAATTTGTTTCTAATTGTTCACAGTTAATTATAAGTAATGTTGAATTGTTATTCTCATACATAAAATCTCTATCAACACTTCTGTTTCTTTAGAGTAGGCTAATAAAATTAAATTACCAAGTGAAAGACTGTGAAGTTTCTTTCAGAGTTTTTGGGACAGATGTCCAAATTATTCTCCATAAGATATATTAATAACTTTCTTGGATTCCTATGAACAATAAATGAAAGTGTCACACACTAGAATGGAGTTGTATATCAAAAGGTTCCTTTTGAATATGATATGGAAAATAGTATCTCATTGAATTAATTTACATTCCATTGACTGCTAAGTAAATTGCAAAGTTGTTCTATATATAATTATTAGCTATCTATATTTTTTATTCTTTGAACTGTATTTTATGCAGTCTACTCATGGTAAACCCATTTTTTAATGAACACATTTAGATATATTAGTTTATTATGGTCTTTTAACAATTATTATAAGTACACTGTGTAGTTATTGATATGCAAAGATATACTTTGATGATCAAATATCTATTTTCTCATTTCAGGAAGAAAGTTGCAAGGTAGATGATTTTTCCTGGGCCTGGAATGTAGTCTACATATATACAGTAATTCTTGCAGAAATCTGCTTGTATGCAGCCACTTCTGATTTGCGAAAAACTGCTTTAATTGGTTTCTGTCACTGTAAAAGTTCACAAAAAAATATTTTATACTTGGACAAATCAGTACCTCCAGAATTAAAGGAAACAAGTATTTTAAGTCTTTTGGAATATTTCTCTTCAAAAATGTCAGAGAACTGTAAGTAGATTGTTTTTTACTTTGATGAGTAATATTTTTAAGTGTCACTGTCTACATATAGTAATAAGCATTCTACTCAAAGTTAATATTTAGAAATAGCAACTAATTTTAAATTTTACAAATTTTGGAAGAATATAGCATGATTTATTTTTTGAGGCCAGGTGTCACTCTGTCACCCAGGCTGCGGTGCAGTGGCGTGATCCCTGCTCACTGTAACCTCCTCTTCTGCTTCAAGCCTTTCTCCTGCCTCAGCCTCCTGAGTAGCTGGGACTACAGGCACTCGCCACCATGCCTGGCTAAGTTTTGTATTTTTAGTAGAGCTGGGGTTTTGCCATGTTGGCCAGGCTGGTCTCAAACTCCTGACCTCAAGTGATCCACCACGTTTGCCTTCCAAAGTGCTGGGATTGCATTCGTGAACCACTGCGCCCAGCCAGAAAATTTTTATCAATAATTTTAAAACAACTGAAATAAAAGTTAGATTCAGTTGACTGATGATTCAAATTATATTCCTTGAAAACAAAAGATGGATTTAGGCAAACCTGGGTGGTGTATATGAAGTTTATTTCCTCTTTATTTTTATTTTGTTCCCCATAGGATTTATCTTCTTTCCTCCATTTTCTCTAGGCATTTACTGTTTCCCTCTTGCTCCTTTCCTGCCCAGAGGATTTCTCTACAATTACTTCACTCAAATATTCTAGTATAATATTCACACCTGACATCTTATAGTCCATCAAATAGTAGCTGTCTTATGTCTCAGGACTAAAGGTCATTTTGCTACTGTATTTATGGGAGATAATAGAATAAAACATTTTGATTTTTCCAAGAGTACTATGGGGACAATGTTAACTCAAAGTAGTCTTTTGTGGTTGAAAAAAACTTTACAGATTTATTGTGAAAAATAATTGCAATTTATATATTATTATAGTCTATTGTGTATGTGATTCTCACTTCCATTAAATGCTGAGATAATTGATACTGAAGAATCATGTCTGAATTATATTTCTAGTAACCCAGCATCTAGCATAATAATACATAATAGGTAAGCAATTATGATAGTGGATTTATAATGTAATTAAATAAATCATTAAATTTCAGATATAATTGCAAGATTTTGGAAGGATTTAAAGAAGTAAGATATTGTCTTTAGCCAAAACCATAATTCACTGATTTGGGGGAAATTATGATTGAGTATAATTTTAAATAGTAAGACTTTAGAAATAGATACACATTTCATTCTCAAAAACTTGCTCACTATTTTTAAATTGCCTTCAATATATTTTTGGCTTAATCAATAGATTGAAACCCAGCTTCTGAGTGTAATTAGTGTGACCTTTTCCCACTTTTCAAGCTTTTATTTTTTTATTGGTGCCAATTTTAAACAGATCTTTATTCTTAAGTACAAAAATTATATTTCTTCCATGTTTATATTATTAATAAAGTGAAGATAAATGAAGGTACTCATTTCTTTTGCTGTTCACAATCTTAGTTATTCAGAATGTCAGAAATTTTCCTACATAGCAGCTCAATACATGATTTTTAAACCACCACTAAACAGACTCATCTACAATTTTGGCCTTCAATTCTTGTCTGGCTATGTAGGTTAGTTTTTCCTCACTTCTAGTGGTAGGTCCAGAAAAGGCCCTCCATGGGAAGAATCTTTACTCCCAGAAACCTCTTGGCCTCCCTTTGGTCATGACCCCCTGTACTCTGGCATAATCTTATGATGATGGGATTGCACGTTTCTGTGGATACTCACAAAACTCACATTTTTTTCCTCCTCAACAGTCTGATATTTTTAAATTTATGTATTATTATACTTTAAGTTCTGGGATACATGTGTAGAACTTGCAGGCTTGTTACATAGGTATACATGTGCCGTGGTGGTTTTAAAACCCATCTTCTTCAATTTAAGCCCCTCATGCATTAGGTATTTGTCCTAATGCTCTCCCTTCCCTTGCCCCCAACCCCTGACAGGCCCGGGTGTGTGATATTCCCCTCCCTGTGTCCATGGGTTCCCATTGTTCAACTCCCACTTATGAGTGAGAACATGCAATGTTTGGTTTTCTGTTCCTATGTGAGTTTGCTAAGAATGATGGTTTCCAGCTTCATCCATGTCCCCACAAAGGACATGAACTCATTCCTTATTATGGCTTTATAGTATTCCATGGTGTATATGTGCCACATTTTCTTTATCCAGTCAATTATTGATGGGCATTTGGGTTGGTTCCAACTCTTCGCTATTGTGAATAGTGCTGCAATAAACATACGTGTGCATGTGTTTATAGTAGAATGATTTATAATCCTTTGGGTATATACCCAGTAATGTAATTGCTGGGTCAAATGGTATTTCTGGTTCTAGATCCTTGAGGAATCTCCACACTGTCTTCCACAATGGTTAAACTAATTTACACTCCCACCAACAGTGTAAAAGCATTCCTATTTCTCCAGATCCTCTCCAGCATCTGTTGTTTCCTGACTTTTTAATGATCGCCATTCTAAGTGGTATGAGATAGTATCTCATTGTGGTTTTGACTTATACTTCTCTTTTGACCAGTGATGATGAGCTTTTTTTCATATGCTTGTTTTGGCCACATAAATGTTTTCTTTTAAATAGTGTCTGTTCATATCCTTTGCCCACTTGTTGATGGGTTTTTTTTTCTTGTAAATTTGTTCCAGTTCCTTGTAGATTCTGGATATTAGACCTTTGTCAGAAAGATAGATTGAAAAAATTTTCTTCCATTCTGTAGGTTGCCTGTTCACTCTGATGATAGTTTCTTTTGCCGTGCAGAAGCTCTTTAGTTTAATTAGATCCCATTTGTCAATTTTGGCTTTTGTTGCCATTGCTTTCGGTGTTTTAGTCATGAAGTCTTTGCCCATGCCTGTGTCCTGAATGGTATTGCTTAGGTTTTCTTCTAGGGTTTTTGTGGTTTTAGATCTTCCATTTAAGTCTTTAACTCATCTTGAGTTAATTTTTGTATAAGGTTTAAGTAAGGGGTCCAGTTTCACTTTTCTGCATACGGCTAGCCAGTTTTCCCAGCACCATTTATTAAATAGGAAATCCTTTCCCCATTGCTTGTTTTTGTCAGGTTTGTCGAAGATCAGATGATTGTAAGTGTGTTGTGTTATTTCTGAAGCCTCTGTTCTGTTCCACTGGTTTATATATCTGTTTTGGTACCAGTACCATGCTGTTGTGGTTACTATAGCCTTGTAGTATAGTTTGAAGTCAGGTAGCGTGATGCCTCCAGCTTTGTTCTCTTTGCTTAGGATTTTCTTGGCTATACAAACTCTTTTTTGGTTCCATATGAAATTTAATGTAGTTTTTTATAGTTCTGTGAGGAAAGTCAGTGGTAGCTTGATGGGAATAGTATTGAATCTATAAATTAATTTGGGCAGTATTGCCATTTTTATGATATTGATTCTGCCTATCCCTGAGCATGGAATGTTTTTCCATTTGTTTGTGTCCTCTCTTATTTCCTTGAGCAGTGGTTTGTAGTTCTCCTTGAAGAGGTCCTTCACATCCTTTTTAAGTTTGATTCCTAGGTATTTTATTTTCTTTGTAGCAGTTGTGAATGGGAGTACATTCATGATTTGTGCTGTCTATCATTGGTGTATAGGAATGCTTGTGATTTTTGCAAATTAATTTTATATTCTGAGATTTTGCTGAAGTTGTTTATCAGCTTGAGGAGTTTTTGGGCTGAGCCAGTGGGGTTTTCTAAATATGCAATCATGTCATCTGCAAACAGAGAGAAGTTGACTTCCTCTATTCCTATTTGAATGCCCTTCATTTCTTTCTCTTGCCTGATTTCCCTGGCCAGAACTTCCAATACTATGTTGAATAGGAGTGGTAAAAGAGGGCATCTTTGGTGCCAGTTGTCGAAGGGAATACTTCTAGCTTTTGCCTATTCAGTATGATATTGGCTATGAGTTTGTTACTGATGGCTCTTATTGTTTTGAGATATGTTCATCAATACCCAGTTTATTGAGTGCTTTTAGCATTAAGGGTGTTGAATTTTATCAAAGGCCTTTTCTGCATCTATTGAGATAATCATGTGGCTTTTGTCATTGGTTCTGTTCATATGATGGATTATGTTTATTGATTTGCATATGTTGAACCAGCCTTGCATCTCAGGGATGAAGCTGACTTGATCGTGGTGGATCAGCTTTTTATGTGCTGCCAGCTTTGGTTTGCTAGTGTTTTACTGAGGATTTTCACATCGGTGTTCATCAGGGATATTGTCCTGAAACCTTTTTTTGTTGTGTCTCTGCCAAGTTTTGCTATCAGGATGATGCTGGCCTCATAAAATATGTTAGGGAGGAGTCCCCATTTTTCTATTGTTTGGAATAGTTTCAGAAGGAATGGTACCAGCTCCTCTTTGTACCTCTGGTAGAATTCGGCTGTGATTCCATCTGGTTCTGGTCTTTTTTTTTGGTTGGTAGGCTATTACTGCCTCAATTTCAGAACTTGTTATTTGTCCCTTCAGAGATCCAACTTCTTCCTGATTTAGTCTTGGGAGGGTGTATGGGTCCAGGAATTTATCCATTTCTTCTAGGTTTTCTAGTTTATTTGCATAAAGGTGTTTATAGTATTCTCTGATGGTAGTTTGTATTTCTGTGGGATCAGTGGTGATGTCCCCTTTATCATTTTTTATTGCATGTATTTGATTCTTCTCTCTTTTCTTCTGTAATAGTCTGGCTAGCGTTCTATCTATTTTGTTATTCTTTTCCAAAAACCAGCTCCTGGATTCATTGATTTTTTTGAAGGACTTTTTGTGTCTCTGTCTCCTTCAGTTCTGCTCTGATCTTAGTTATTTCTTGCCTCTGCTCGCTTTTGAATTTATTTATTCTTGCTTCTCTACTTCTTTTAACTGTGATGTTAGGGTGTTGATTTTAGATCTTCCCCGCTTTCTGATGTGGGCATTTAGTACTATAAATTTCCCTTTTAAAACTGCTTTAGCTGTGTCCCAGAGATTCTGGTACATTGTTCCTTTGTTGTCACTGGTTTCAAAGAACTTATTTGTTTCTGCCTTAATTTCATCATTTACACAGTAGTCATCCAGGAGCAGGTTGTTGAGTTTTCATGTAGTTTTGTGGTTTTCAGTGAGTTTCTTAATCCTGAGTTCTAGTTTGATTGCACTGTGGTCTGAGAGACTGTTATGATTTCCGTTCTTTTCATTTGCTGAAGAGCATTTTACTTCCAATTATGTGGTCGATTTTAGAATAGGTGTGATGTGGTGCTGAGAAGAGTGTATATTCTGTTGATTTGTGGTGGAGAGTTTTGTAGATGTCTATTAGGTCCACTTGGTCCAGAGCTGAGTTCAATTCCTGAATATCCTTGTTAATTTCCTGTCTCGTTGATCTGTCTAATATTGACAGTGGGGTATTAAAGTCTCCCACTATTATTGTGTGGGAGTCTATATCTCTTTGTAGGTGTCTAAGAACTTGCTTTATGAATCTGAGGGCTCCTGTATATTGGGTGCATATATGTTTAAGATAGCTCTTCTTGTTGCATGGATCCCTTTACCATTATGTAATGCCATTCTTTGTCTTTTTTTATCTTTGTTGGCTTAAAGTCTGTTTCATCAGAGACTAGGATTGCAATCCCTGCATTTTTGCTTTCCATTTGCTTGGTAAATGTTCCTCCATTCCTTTATTTTGAGCCTATGTGTGTCTTTGCATGTGAGATGGGTCTCGTGAATACAGCACACTGATGGATCTTGACTCTTTATCCAGTTTTCTAGTCGGTGTCTTTTAATTGGGACATTTAGCCTATTAACATTTAAGGTTAATATTGTTATGTGTGAATTTGATCCTGTCTTCATGATGCTAGCTGGTTATTTTGCACAGTAGTTGATGCAGTTTCTTCATAGTGTCATTGGTCTTTATATTTTGGCATGTTTTTGCAGGGGCTGGTACTGGTCTTTCCTTTCCATATTTAGTGCCTCTTTCAGGAGCTCTTGTAAGGCAGGCCTGATGGTGACAAAATCCTTTAGCATTTCCTTGTCTCTAAAGGATTTTATTTCTCCTTCACTTATGAAGCAAATTAGTTTGGCTTGATATGAAATTCTGGGTTGAAAATTCTTTTCTTTTTTTTATTATTATTATACTTTAAGTTTTAGGGTACATGTGCACAATGTGCAGGTTAGTTACATATGTATACATGTGCCATGCTGGTGTGCTGCACCCATTAACTCGTCATTTAGCATTAGGTATATCTCCTAATGCTATCCCTCCCCCCTCCCCCCACCCCACAACAGTCCCCAGAATGTGATGTTCCTCTTCCTGTGTCCATGTGTTCTTATTGTTCAATTCCCATCTATGAGTGAGAACATGCGGTGTTTGGTTTTTTGTCCTTGCGATAGTTTACTGAGAATGATAATTTCCAATTTCATCCATGTCCCTACAGAGGACATGAACTCCTCATTTTTTATGGCTGCATAGTATTCCATGGTGTATATGTGCCACATTTTCTTAATCCAGTCTATCATTGTTGGACATTTGGGTTGGTTCTAAGTCTTTGCCATTGTGAATAGTGCCGCAATAAACATACGTGTGCATATGTCTTTATAGCAGCATGATTTATAGTCCTTTGGGTATATATCCAGTAATGGGATGGCTGAGTCAAATGGTATTTCTAGTTCTAGATCCCTGAGGAATCGCCACACTGACTTCCACAATGGTTGAACTAGTTTACAGTCCCACCAACAGTGTAAAAGCGTTCCTATTTCTTCACAGCCTCTCCAGCACCTGTTGTTTCCTGACTTTTGAATGATTGCCATTCTAACTGGTGTGAGATGGTATCTCATTGTGGTTTTGATTTGCATTTCTCTGATGGCCAGTGATGATGAGCATTTTTTTCATGTGTCTTTTGGCTGCATAGATGTCTTCTTTTGAGAAATGTCTATTCATATTCTTTGCCCACTTTTTGATGGGGTTGTTTGTTTTTTTCTTGTAAATTTGAGTTCATTGTAGATTGTGGATATTAGCCCTTTGTCAGATGAGTAGGTTGCGAAAATTTTCTCCCATTTTGTAGGTTGCCTGTATGCTCTGATGGTAGTTTCTTTTGCTGTGCAGAAGCTCTTTAGTTTAATTAGATCCCATTTGTCAATTTTGGCTTCTGTTGCCATTGCTTTTGGTGTTTTAGACATGAAGTCCTTGCCCATGCCTATGTCCTGAATGGTAATGCCTAGGTTTCTTCTAGGGTTTTTATGGTTTTAGGTCTAACATTTAACTCTTTAATCCATCTTGAATTAATTTTTGTATAAGGTGTAGGGAAGGGATCCAGTTTCAGCTTTCTACTTATGGCTAGCCAGTTTTCCCAGCACCATTTATTAAATAGGGAATCCTTTCCCCATTGCTTGTTTTTCTCAGGTTTGTCAAAGATCAGATAGTTGTAGATATGCGGTGTTATTTCTGAGGGCTCTGTTCTGTTCCATTGATCTATATCTCTGTTTTGGTACCAGTACCATGCTGTTTTGGTTACTGTAGCCTTGTAGTATAGTTTGAAGTCAGGTAGCGTGATGCCTCCAGCTTTGTTCTTTTGGCTTAGGATTGACTTGGCGATGCGGGCTCTTTTTTGGTTCCATATGAACTTTAAAGTAGTTTTTTCCAATTCTGTGAAGAAAGTCACTGGTAGCTTGATGGGGATGGCATTGAATCTATAAATTACCTTGGGCAGTATGGCCATTTTCACAATATTGATTCTTCCTACCCATGAGCATGGAATATTCTTCCATTTGTTTGTATCCTCTTTTATTTCATTGAGCAGTGGTTTGTAGTTCTCCTTGAAGAGGTCCTTCACGTCCCTTGTAAGTTGGATTCCTAAGTATTTTATTCGCTTTGAAGCAATCGTGAATGGGAGTTCACTCATGATTTGGCTCTGTTCATCTGTTATTGGTGTATAAGAATGCTTGTGATTTTTGTACATTGATATTGTATCCTGAGACTTTGCTGAAGTTGCTTATCAGCTTAAGGAGATTTTGGGCTGAGACAATGGGGTTTTCTAGATATACAATCATGTCGTCTGCAAACAGGGACAATTTGACTTCCTCTTTTCCTATTTGAATACCCTTTATTTCCTTCTCCTGCCTAATTGCCCTGGCCAGAACTTCCAACACTATGTTGAATAGGAGGGGTGAGAGAGGTCATCCCTATCTTGTGCCAGTTTTCAAAGGGAATGCTTCCAGTTTTTGCCCATTCAGTATGATATTGGCTGTGGGTTTGTCATAGATAGCTCTTATTATTTTGAGATACGTCCCATCAATACCTAATTTATTGAGAGTTTTTAGCATAAAGAGTTGTTGCATTTTGTCAAAGGCCTTTTCTGCATCTATTGAGATAATCGTGTGGTTTTTGTCTTTGGCTCTGTTTATATGCTGGATTACATTTATTGATTAGCGTATATTGAACCAGCCTTTCATCCCAGGGATGAAGCCCACTTGATCATGGTGGATAAGCTTTTTGATGTGCTGCTGGATTCGGTTTGCCAGTATTTTACTGAGGATTTTTGCATGAATGTTCATCAAGGATATTGGTCTAAAATTCTCTTTATTTGTGGTGTCTCTGCCCAGCTTTGGTATCAGGATGATGCTGGCCTCATAAAATGAGTTAGGGAGGATTCCCTCTTTTTCTGTTGATTGGAATAGTTTCAGAAGGAATGGTACCAGTTCCTCTTTGTACCTCTGGTAGAATTCGGCTGTGAATCCATCTGGTCCTGGACTCTTTTTGGTTGGTAAGCTATTGATTATTGCCACACTTTCAGAGCCTGTTATTGGTCTATTCAGAGATTCAACTTCTTCCTGGTTTAGTCTTGGGAGAGTGTATGTGTCGAGGAATTTATCCATTTCTTCTAGATTTTCTAGTTTATTTGCATAGAGGTGTTTGTAGTATTCTCTGATGTTAGTTTGTATTTCTGTGGGATCGGTGGTGATATCCCCTTTATCATTTTTTATTGTGTCTATTTGATGCTTATCTTTTCTTTAAGAATGTTGAATATTGGCCCCAACTCTCTTCTGGCTTGTAGGGTTTCTGCTGAGAGATCTGCCGTTAGTCTGATGGGCTTCCCTTCGTAGGTAACCTGATCTTTCTCTCTGGCTGCCCTTAACAATTTTTCCTTCATTTCATCCTTGGAGAATCAGACAATTATGTGTCTTGGGGTTGCTCTTCTCGAGGAGTATCTTAGTGGTGTTCTCTGTATTTCCTGAATTTGCATGTTGGCCTCTCTTACTAGGTTGGGGAAGTTCTTCCGGATAATATCCTGAAGTGTGTTTTCCAACTTGGTTCCATTCTCCCCATCACTTTCAGGTACACTAATCAGTTGTAGGTTTGGTCTTTCCACATGGTCCCACATCTCTTGGGGGTTTTGTTCATTCCTTTTCATTCTTTTTTCTCTGATTTTGTCTTTATGCTTTGTTTCATTAAGTTGATCTTCAATCTCTGATATCTTTTCTTCCACTTGATCGATTCAGCTATTGATACTTGTGTATGCTTCACAAAGTTCTCATGCTGTGTTTTTCAGCTCCATCAGGTCATTTATATTCTTTTCTAAACTGGATATTCTAGTTAGCAGTTCCTGTAACCTTTTATCAAAATTCTTAGTTTCCTTGTATTGGGTTAGAACATGCTCCTTTAGCTCAGAGGAGTTTGTTACTACCCACCTTTTGAAGCCTACTTCTGTCAACTCATCAAACTCTTTCTTCATACGGTTTTGTGCCCTTGTTGGAAAGGAGTTGCGATCATTTGGAGGAGAAAAGGCATTCTGGTTTTTAGAATTTTCAGCATTTTTGCACTGGTTTTCCCTCATCTTTGTGAATTTATCTACCTTTGATCTTTGATGCTGATGCCTTTTGGATAGTGTTTTTGAGTGGGTGTCCTTTTAGTTGATATTGATGTTATTGCTTTTTGTTTCTAGTTTTCCTTCTAACAGTCAGGCCCCTCTTCTGCACGTCTGCTGGAGTTTGCTGGAGGTCCACTCCAGACCCTGTATGCCTGGGTATCACCAGCAGAAGCTGCAGTATGGCAAAGATTGCTGCCTGTTCCTTCCTCTGGTAGCTTCATCCCAGAGGGGTACCTGCCTGATGCCAGCCGGAGCTCTCCTGTGTGAGGTGTCTGTTGACCCCTGCTGGGAGGCATCTCCCAGTCAGGAGGCACAGGGGTCACCGACCCATTTGAGGGGGCAGTCTGCCCTTTAGCAGAGCTTAAGCACTGTGCTGAGAGATCCGCTGCTCTATTCAGAGCTGGCAGCAGGAAAGTTTAAGTCTGCTGAAGCTGCGCCAATAGCTACCCTTTCTGTCCCAGGGAGATGGGAGTTTTATCTATAAGCCCCTGACTGGGGCTGCTGCCTTTCTTTCAGAGATTACCTGCCCAGTGAGGAGGAATCTAGAGAGGCAGTCTGGCCACAGCTGCTTTGCCGTGCTGCAGTGAGTTTGGCTTCCTTAAGACTGTGAGGGGAAAACTGCCTACTGGAGTTGCAGTAATGACGGAAGCCCCTTCCCGCATGAAGCTCGATCCTCCCAGGCTGCCTTCAGACTGCTGTGCTGGCAGCAAGAATTTCAAGACAGTAGTTCTTGGCTTGCTGGGCTCCATAAAGGTGGGACCTGCTGAACAAGACCACTTGGCTCCCTGGTTTCAGCCCCCTTTCCAGGTTAGAGAACAGTTCTGTCTTGCTGGGGTTCCAGGCACCACTGGGGTATGAAAAAAAACTCCTGCAGCTAGCTCAGTGTCTGCCCAAAGAGCCACCTAGTTTTGTGCCTGAAACCTGGGGCCCTGGTGGTATAGGCACAGGAGGGAATCTCCTGGTCTGTGGGTTGCAAAAACCATGGGAAAAATGTAGTATCTGGGCTGGATAGCACAGTTTCTCATGGTACAGTCCCTCGGGGCTTCTCCTGGCTAGGGAAGGTAGTTCCCCAGCCCATTGCTCTTCCCGGGTGAGGCAATGCCCCACCATGCTTCTGCTTGCCCTCCGTGGGCTGCACCCACTGTCTAACCAGTCCCAATGAGATGAACTGGGTACTTCAGTTAGAAATGTAGAAATCACCCACCTTCTGCGTTGGTTTCACTGGGAGCTGCAGACCAGAGCTGTTCCTATTCGGCCATCTTGCCAGACTCCCCACAACAGTGTGATTTTTAAAAAATTTTAAAATGTCAACTTTTGAGTATACATAGTAGGTGTATATATTTATCAGGTATGTGGGATATTTTGATACAGGCATTCAATGTGTAATAATTACATCAGGGTAAATGAGGTATTGAATACCTCAAGCATTTAACTTTTGTGTTACAAACAATCCAATTATACCCTTTAGTTATTTGTAAAAGTACAAGAAATTATTATTGACTATAGGCACTCTGTCATGCCATCAAATACCAGAACTTATTCATTCTTTCCATTTTTTGTACCCATTGACAACCCCTATTTCCTCCTCATCACCCTATTGCCCTTTCAAGCCTCTAGTAACCATCATTCTACTCTGTATCTCCATGAGTTCAATTGTTTTAATTTTTAGCTCCCACAAATAAGCAAGAATATGCAGGTTGTCCTACTGTGCCTGGCTTATTTCATTTAACATAATGACCTCTAGTTCCATATATGTGGTTGCAGAAGACAGAGTCTCATAATTTTTTACAAGTGTCTCTCAACAGATGAATGGATAAAGAAAATCTGATATTTTCCCCCAGGAAGTTCATAATTTTATTGAATTCATGTACTCATTGTTAATCTTTTATTTTGAAGTTTTCAAATCTTTTCCTGAAGACTTTATTTTGATGGCCTAGAATTTGGGCGAATTCTTGGAAGACATTTTGTCTTTCTGCTAATCATCTACAGCTTAATAATTCCCAGTTTTCTGGAAAACACATCCAAAATCTTCCTAGCTCAAATATTGTTCTTTTTACCTATAATGGCATCAAAGCAGACCTACTGAGAATCTTTTTGGTATTATGTGAGCTTTCTTCCTTCTGAGCAGTGCCATACATTATGGACAACTATGTGAGCTCACACTTGCTAAGAATATAGTCATTCTTGGTCATTGTTTTCTCATCTTTATAAATTTGAATAAACACACTTGTTTCTGTTTGGTATGACATCCAAGAACAATCAATTCTGATTTTTGTCACCTGTGTTCCTAGATGAGCTAGCCACCTAGATACTTGTATGGTGAGCAACAGTTTCATCAAAGTTGGTACTACTTTTGTATAATTATTTGTCATTGAATAAACTAGGAGATTCTGAATACCATTGTGTCAACAGCCAGACAATGTTACGAATCAAAGAGCTATCTCTACAGGTCACATGCTATCAGCATTTCAATCTTTAAAATGGCACAGTGATAGAGAGGCGGAAGGTAATCCCTAACAGACTAGATTATTGAAGAAATTGCCCTTTGTACATTCACAAGTGGTTTAGAGGAAATGGATAGCTTTTTTTGTTTGTTTTTTGTTTTTGTTTTTGTTTTCATTTTCTTTGCTTTCACTGATGTCTTTCTTATGTTCGCACTTGAACTAAGAAATGAAATGAATAACCCATATTTTATCAATGTTTTCTCAACACGGTGGACAAATAGATGTTGTAATGTTGAATGCTTTTAAAGGTTTGATCTGCATTAAAGAGGATAGATATATGAAAAGTGCCTCTTCATAGTCAAAGTCAGTACATTTTTCTATGACATCTAACTTCTTGTAGAAGCCATAAATAGTACTAGTGGCATTTGTCTCACTGATGATTCTATTTTGAAATGCTCAATTCTTACCAAAGCTTTGTGGTTTCTCGTGAGAAATGATTGAAATAAGTTGATAACATGTTGAAAATTTAGGTAAAGATGTCCCAAGGATATATTCGGCAATTTTCTTCATCTCTGTCATAACCAGAGAATATAACACCTCTAGACGTCAACTTTTGATTTCCGCTTCATGTTTCTACTGGATCTTTGGCTTTTATATAAGTCACTACCAAGAAAAGCCATTACTTGACAAATACATTGTCAAGTATCTCACCAGTCAAATGATAGGAATTGAAAACTGTACTGATGTGGTCCATTGTAACATGATCCTTTGTAGCATTACTGAGTAATTTTTCCACATAGAGAAAATGATTTTTTCTGGGTGTCCTGCATGCATGATCATTAGTAATAAAGCCCAGTTCCACAGGACCACAGAAAATGGAGGGTTCCAAAGGTAGTATCATCTGTGTGGGCTTTTTCAAAATACTTATTGGGAGATAAGGATCTGTCTTTCTGAAAAGTGATATAAATAATCTGGAGCTTCTGCTTTATTTAACTGAAAATTATTTTTTCTCATAATAATACCTTTAACATTAGTAAGTCTTTTGTTGAGAGTGAAAAAAACCCAGATCTGGAGTCAAACGAACTCATACCGTATTTTAATTTTGTCACTTGAATATCAGAATCCTAGATCAAAGCATTTAATTTTTCTAAAACTTATTTTCATTACCTAATAATTATGATAAGAATACTGTCCATGGGATAGGACTTTGGGTGAGAAAAAACTATGGAAACATACAGACGCTTGGCATATTACCTAGTGCATGGTAAAGGCCCAGTAAAGGTTAATAGATGTTATGGTGGTTAATGTAGTTTAATATTATTATAGTGAGAAACTATAGGTGAGGAAGTATTTCTTTTTGTAATGCTTATTCCTATATACATTATATATCTGGAGGAATCTTACTTTATTTATGTATAAGGTACATATGACACTGAAAATCATTTAAAATAGTATCAAGCGATTCTCATTCCACAGCCTCCCAAGTAGCTGGGATTACAGGTGTGTGCCACCATGCTTGACTAATTTTTGTATTTTTAGTAGAGACCAGGTTTTGCCATGTTGCCCAGGCTGGTCTCAAACTCCTGGCGGTAAGTGATCCACTCACTTGGGCCTCTCAGAGTACTGAGATTGTAGGCGTGAGACACCACGCTTGGCCTCAAATAATGTTCTTATGGACCATTTTTACATAAAGCCTTTATTACAAAGAAACAATTTAAATCATGGTTTTGTGAAGGCATTATTCTAAGAAATTAAAATAATGACTCCTGATATGGTTTAGCTCTGTGTTCCCACCCAAATCTCCTCCGATTGTAATCCCCACACGTTGAGGGAGAGACCTATAATCTCCATGTGTCTAGGGAGGGAGGTGACTAGATCATGAGGACGGTTTCCCTCATGCTGTTCTCGTGATAGTGAGTGAGTTCTCACGAGATCTGATGGTTTTATATGTGTTTGGAAGTTTCTTCTTTGCTCTTCTCTCTCCTGCTGCCTTGTGAAGAAGGTGCTTGCTTCCCCTTCCACCACGATTATAAGTTTCCTGAGGCTTCCCTAGCCATGTGGAACTGTAAGTCAATTAAAACCTCTTTTATTTATAAATTACTCAGTCTCAGGGAAGTTCTTTATAGCAGTGTGAAAACAGATGAATACAACCCCCATGAAGATAATATGAAGATGTTTTCCTTTGATCTTATCTCAGTGGTCCCCAACTTTTTTGGCACCAGAGACCAGTTTCCTGGAAGGCAGTTTTTCCCCTGACGGTGGAGTGGAGTGGGGTGGGGGATGGTTTTGATGCAACTGCTTCATCTCAGATCATCAGGCATTAGTTAAATTTTCATAAGGAGCAGCAACTTAGATCCCACTCATGCACTGTTCACAATAGGGTTCATGTTCCTATGAGAATGTAATACCACTGATCTGACAGGAGGTGGAGTTCAGGTGATAATGTTCACTCACTGGCCATTCATCTCCTATTGTATGGCCCAATTCCTAACAGGACACGGACTGGTAGGTTTGGGGACCCCTGTTTATCTGATACAGGAGTAGAACTTGAAGAATCTAGAGGACAAGAAGGCTACTTAACATGTCCATTTTCCACTCTGAGGTTTGTGTGAGACAAGCTTTTCACAGAGTCAAATGGCTATTAATTCAAGTTGGGGTCTCTGGCAATAACTGAAGTGCTGAGTGGTGGTTTTTTATTGAATAGAAAATTTTTTATATGCTTACAAATATTTCTTATGCATTTAACATTTGGTTGAAATTCAGAGTCTGACTTTTATTATTCCTTTTATGGAGAACCATCCTACACATGTCTTAATGGAGTTAAGCTACAGGAAAGTTTGAATATGTTCAAGTGCCTAAATAAGCCCTTATTTGAAATACAAATTTTTTCAGCATAGTCTCAAAGAAGAGATTATTTTGAGCTGAAAAACTATGAGGGAATGTGAAGAAAATTAATTTATTTAAACATACAGAATTTTTGCTTGATACCTGTTGAGATTCTGATTTTGAAAAACATTTTGCCCTTATGGGTCATAAAGGATATTAATAATTAACTTTATTTTATGTATTTATTGAGCTCTTTGAATGTTCCAGGCATTTTTCTAGGCACTTGACATGCATCATTTAACTCATTAATCATTACAACAAGATTATGACACAGATACTCATATTATCCCCATTTTCGAGCGAGAAAACTGAGGCAATAAAAGTTTATTTGTCCAAAGAAGTATAATTAATAAATGGTGCATTTGAGACTGAATGAAGGCATTCTCATTTTGGAGTCCATACTAATAACTGCCTCCCTATACTGAACTAACTAGACTAGATGGTCCATTCAATGAAATTTTAACAAACGTCCATCTGCATGTTGAAGAATGTGCAAAAGGTGACGTTGAGAAATTCTCTCAGACAGTCATTATCCTATAGCATTATTTGCCACAGACCCTATATCATGTGTGGCCCATATTTTTAACGTAAGTTCCTGGGCGTTTTCTAGAACTTTGCATCAGACTTTTTAAAAGGTGGGGTCCAGGGGTCTGTGTCATTAAAACACTTCCCATGTTATAGATTGAGAAAACCTAGCCTATACATTTAGCTGTTAAACATGATAGTAAAATGTTCTCATTACAGAAGAAAATATTTTTCTTAATTCCTGTTACAGACCCGTATGCATCCAGACTGTTAGTATTTATTTTTGATGACTTATAATATATATCTTTACTAACAGGGAAGCACAGCTTTGTGTTCTATCTTTCAAATTTGAAATGCCGTCTTCCTATGTTCCTACTTTGGCTTCACAGTGAAAAAATGATAGATTTTTTTAAAAGCCTGCATTATCTGGAGTCTGTGTTGTAATAATAAAACTTGGAAATGATGTCTTCTGTGGGAAACTAACAGACACTGAGTTAGTGTGTCTTGTATAAGAGGGTGAAATATTTAGAAATAGATAATGAATGATAGACCCCAAAATATCTCAGAGTACTAAGTCTTCTCAATCATACAGCACTCATCTAATGCACAAATCTCTTCCAGATGTTTGCAAACAGTGAACAAAGTCTGCTTAAAAGTCAACAGAGAGGTAGGACTCCCAGTCTCCCAAAGCAGGTCTTTCCACTTTTGGACTCTGAAAGATCTGTCCTTACACTACAATGAAATTTTTCTTTCCATATTTTCCAAACCTGGGCTTAAATTTTGTGCCCTGGAGGCAACCAAAATAAATCGATTCATTTTCTCGCGTTCTAGTCCTTCCAGTATGTGAAGATAATTGCATTGGTTTCCCTCACCACCTCTCCACCCTGCTGTCATCTCTCATCTCTTTGCTTACTGCCAAGTTCTTGTGGTAATTTTTTGTAGTACATGAAAAACATGTTTTCCATATGGCTTATAATTAACTTCTTCAGTTTGCTGGGAGTTTGTTGTGTTGTCATCTTTGCCTGGATTTACAATAATTTATTCCAATAATATAATATGATGTGAAGACATGTGCATAGGACCCAAGTGCTTTTCCATTCAGTGTTGTCTCAAAATGGAAAAAGTAAAATATGGCATTCTTCCTTTCATTTGTTTGTTGAGAATGATTTTCTAAGCCGGTTCTCCAATGACAGTAGTGAATGAAATATATGTCACAGTTGTGAAATAGCTTTGTATGTTTCATTTTGATTCATTTTAACTTAGAAAAATCATTAGCACAGAGCAATAATTTCTTTTTAGAAAGTAAATGAGAGTTAATTGGAATCTTAGAACCAATTGAATCTTTTAATGATATTCTATTAGATCTTTCATATATCTCTTACCTTGGTGAAGGTTATTCAAGAAAGTATTCAGTAATAAGGTTGTGGTTTTTATACATGGAAAATATTTTACTCTTTAAAAAAATATATATATATGTGTTAGCAATAGAATTGAGACAATCTTAATCATTCACTGTTCTGTGTGCTGACACATCTAAAAGTATAGTATCACTGATCATATTATATACATATACAGAAGTTAACCAAATGTATCTATTTTTTAGATTCCTAAAATAATTTTATTGAGGTATAATTGACAGATAATACAATGTGCATATTTAAACTGTACAGCCTGACAAGTTTGACACACACACACACACACACACACACACACACACACACACACACACATATATATATATATATATATATATATATACATACATGTACCCATGAAACCATCATCATAATAAAAGATGACCCATAAGAATTATTTCCTAGGATCTGGGTACAAAAGTGGCTTCTATTTTCAAGGAAAGAGTAAGGTATGGCTGGTGTGTTGGCAACTAAATGTAGTAATGACTTTCCTTTAACAGAGAAAATGTCAGGTTTGTGCACAACAAACTAACATAACTTAGTTATATGTTTTAATGTCTGCAAGTTTTAATAGTCACGGTACTAGCAATTTGAACAGCCACAGTATTTACACATTTGGAGTTTACCATCTTGTTTGATAACATAGCAAATATCATATGCTGGAGATTCATGAAGTCTAACAGTTTATTTTATAAGCTTAGTGAGACACCTGTAAAATGTTTTATTTTAATATTCACCTGGTGTATTTTGTGCTGTTTTTGTGTTAACCTGAATTTATTGTGTGTGTGTGTCTCTGGGTGTATATGTATATATGTGTCTGCATAGATACACACACACATACATATATAATGCCTCATTATGTTGATCTGCTAAAATAATTGATAACTTCTGTCCTTATTTAAAATGGATGAATTGTCACTTTTTGGATACTGAATGATTTTAGTTACATTTGTCTAATACTGCTTTATTATTAATTTCTCTTTTTATAACTTGCGATTTTCCCACTGAAATTGTGTTGCTCTTTTATGTCATCCAAGTTTTTATTTTATTGGTTGGTTTTTGAAATAAAATAACACTCAGCAGCTCAATTACTGTGTTCTTTTGAGAATGTTATAAGATTACACTTGATTCTAGAGCATCTGGGCATTTAACTATAGTAGTAATAAACTTAAATCTAAAAATTTATGAGGAGTAACATAAACTCACCCTCTGATTACCTATGGCTTATTATTTTTGTAAGTCTACCAATAGGATGTGAAAGTCTTCCCTTGCTGTGCTGTTTTGTGTTACTGTGCTCCATCTTTCAGGGAAGCATTGCTAAGCAGCTCTGGGCTTTGGATGTCTATGTCCCATTCATATTAAGAATGTTTTTGATGTAAAAAAAAATCTTGAGATACATTTGTATGTGTAATTGTGTGTGTGTGTGTGTGTGTGTGTGAAAGGGTGTGTATGGAAATATGCCTTCTATGCTGATATTTCATAAATGTAGCACTTTCATGGGGGAAAGAATTACCAATAGTTTTGATAATTAATTATCTATTTGACTTTTTAAAAGTGATTATTAAGTACCATAACCACACATAAGTTCTAAAAATTTCTCATAAATTAAAACTTTTAAAATAACTAGGAGAAAATAGAGCACAGTACCTTTATGACCATCAAACAAGGAAGGGTTTCATAAACAAAACAGAAAAATCACAAATTGTAAAAGATATGATTGGAAAATTTATACAGAAATGTAAAATATCTGGGCAGGAAAAAAATGAGAGAAAATTACAATAAGTTAAAAGTGAAATTTTGGAAATATATGTATCTATTATAAAATAGAAATAATAATAAAAGAAATACCACTTGTTACTATTGACATGCCTTTACTGCGGTTTCTAAACTTGCTAGATGGCCATAAATGGACCAATTTTAAATCTTAACTTGACCTGTATCTCTTTCTCTCCACTGTCCCCCTTCCCTGTGATTAAGCTGTATGCCACAAGTTGACCTATAAGTCAGAAGTTCGAAAAATCTAACATATTCTTTCCAAACCTGCAAACTTCTGTGAGAAAATGTATGTAGTGACTAGTTTGGGATGAGTTTGTTAAATCCCTAGGTTGCAGCAGTATGCTTTTGCCTTTTTTGTTTGCATTAGTACTTCAAGGTAAGGGTGAGAAGGGCCTGGAACTGGACATGTCAGGAAAATAGCCCTAAATCAGGGACTTCAGAGACCGCAGGGAGCTGGATGAGAAACTGCTGCAGGCACTCTTTCCTCCCTCATGCTCACTGCAGCCTTGGGTTGAGCTGTCACCCAGAGCTCTTGGAACTGCAGGGAGGGCAGAGGAGAAGAGTTTCAGTTTAGAATATGTGAGAAGAAAAGCTAGAAATTTTAAATATGAGGTGAGGGAAGAAGAATCCCTGTGGCCAAATATTCTAAGACTGCCCACTTTTACTCCATTTTCCAAATCTTGAATAGAAGGCATATTTTGCGGTCTAAGAATGCTTTTTCCCAACAAACATTGTGAAAACCTGACAATTTTCTACCCTGTCAACACTGCTTCAACAATTAAAGCTTAATCTATGGAGCCTGTGGAAAATAGTTATTAACCATAGAGGTGAGACTTCACCCTCTAAATTTACTTCATCATCTTCACAAAGCCCCACATAACCAGGATGAAGGGAAAACATTGCTACTCTTCTCTAGAAGATTTGCTATCATTCCTACTAAATAATTTTAATCTAGCCCTGTACATGTTCAAACTAAAAGTTTCCTATTATCTCCCATTCTGTTTATTCCCTTGTATGGTTGGTAACTGTTCCTTTTGTTGGGATGGGCTAAAAACACACGCTGGAACTTTCAATCCAAAGCTTTTTACCATGTAAAGGTCTTCACCTACTTAAGAAGAAGGAGCTGGGAATCTTATGGGAATCGTCCTTACATATTTGAAGAATAAACAATACAAAGTATTCCATTCAGATCCAGTGGTCTAAAATCCACCTGTAGCTGAACACAGAGGGAAAAGACCCATGAACCAGAAATAATGCAATGTTTCCAAAGTATTTATGGTGCTAAAGTACATTCCAACTTGTCACTTTAAAAATTAATTTTTATAATAATATATCATAGCAGAGAAGAAAAAATAAGATAGATTTAGGCTTCCTATCTTAATTAATTATGGTGATATATATTCATTAATGAAAATAACTCGCTAAGTGCTTGTAAATTTCTTTGTTACAGTAGTAAGAATTATATTAAGATCCTTCAGCATGCTTCAGAATGTTTTTTCTGTCATTTAATATGGTCCAGAAATGAATGCTAAAATTATAGTGTCACTTTACACTTCACTCCTCCCATCCATCAAGAGTAACATAATATGTTCACAGACAGAGACATCACTAATTTAATCAAACACATGAATCCTGCATCTAGAGACACAATGTTTTACAGCAGATCTCTAGAACTTATTCATCTTGTATTACTGAAATGTTATACCCATTGATTCGCAATTCTCTTATTGCCTCCACCAACCTCTGGTAACTGCCATTCTATTCTTTGCCTCGGGCAGCTTAACTATTTTAGATACCTCATTTAGTGGAATCATGTAGTAGTTACCCTTCTGTGATTGGCTTAATTCACTTAGCGTAATGTTTTCAGGCTTCATCCATGTTGTTGCATATTGCAGGATTTTCTTTTTCTTCTTGGTGTGAATATATTTCATTTTATATATATATGACATTTTCCTTATCCATTCATCTGTCAACAGACATTTAGGTTGTTTCCGTATCTTGACTATTATAAACAGTGCTGCAATGAATATGGTAATGCTAATATCTCTTTGAGATCCTGATTTTAATTCCTTTGGATCAATATCCAGAAGTGGAATTGCCAGATCATATAGCCCTTCCATTTTTAATTTTTAGAGGAAATTGTATGCTGTTTTCTGTAGCAGTAATACCACTTTGCATTCCTACCAGTAGTGTACTGCAGGGATTCCAATTTCCTCACAACCCTGCCGACACTTGTCTTTTTCTTCTTTTTTTTTTTTTTTTTTGATAATAGATATTCTAACAGTTGTGAAGTGATATTTAATTGTGCTTTTGATTCGTATTTCCTTGATAATTAGTGATATTGAGCATATTTTCACATACCATTTGGCTACTTCTATGTTTCTTTGGAGAAATGTCTATTTAAGTCCTTTGCCCATTTTGTAATCAAGTTATTAGTTTTATTTTACTATTGAGTTTTAAGAGTTTCTTATTTTCAAGATTAATGTTTCAACATATAGATGTCTGCAAATATAATCCCCCCATTCTGTAAGATGTCATTTTACTCTGTTGATTTTTTCTTTTGTTGTACAGAAGCTTTTTTATTTGATGTAGTTCCACTTGAACTTATTTTTGTTTTTGTTGCCTGTGCTTTTGGTGTTATTTCCGAAAAATCATTGCTAAAACCAATTTTAAGAGTATTTTCCCCATATTTTCTTCTATGAGTTTTAGTTTCAGGTCTTCTGTTTGTCTCTAATCAATTTTGAGTTGATTTTTGTGTATAGCATAAGGGTCTAATTTTATTATTTATATATGGATATCCAGTTTCCCCAACACCATTTGTTGAAGAGACTATCCTTTTCCCATTATATATTCATGGTACTCATGTAGAATATCAGTTGGCCGTATATGTGTGGATTTATTTCTGGGATCTCTATTCTGTTCCATTAGTCTATATATCAGTCTTTAGGCTGGTACTGTTTTAATTTATGTAGCCTTGAAGTATACTTTGAAATCAGTAAATGTGATGCCTTTGACTTTGTTCTTTTTCAAGATTGTTTTGGCTAGTTGGGATCTTTTTAGGCCATTGAAATGTTTGAGTTTCTTTTTCTATTTCTGTCTAAAATGCCATTGAGATTTTGATGGAGACAGTATTGAATTTGTAGATTACGTTAGGTAGTGTAAACATTTTTAAAATATTAAGTATTTCAATCTAGGAACAAAGGATGTCTTTTCATTTGTGTCTCATTTAAGTTTTTAAACAATGTTTTGTGGCTTTTAATGCAGAAGTCTAACTAATTTGCTTAAATTTATTCCTAAGTATTTTATTCTTTTTGTTGCTATCATAAATGTAATGTTTTACTAATTTCCTTTTTGTATAGTTTGTTATTAGTGTATAGAAACAATTTTTGTGTGTTGATTTTGTACCATTCAAGTTTACTAAATTAGTTTACTTTATTGGTTTTAACGCACTTGATTTTGTGGGGTCTTTAGGATTTTCTTCATATAAGATTATGTCGTCTGCAAACAGAGATACTTTCACTTCTTCCTGTCTTATTTGGATGCCTTTTATTTGTTTATCTTGCCTAATTGCTCTGGCTAGCACTTTCAGGACTCTGTTAAATAGACATCACCAGAGTAGACAACCTTGGCTTGTTCCTGGTACAGGTAGTGAGCTCCAGGTTAGTGAACATAGTACCCAATAATTAGTATTTCAGCCACTGCCTCTTCCCCTCGTTTCCACCTCTAGTAGTCCCAGTGTCTATTATTGCCATCTTTATGTCCGTGTGTACTCAATGTTTAGCTCCCCCTTATAAGTGAGAACATGTGGTATTTGGTTTTCTGTTCCTATATTAATTTGCTTGGGATAATGGTTTTCAGTTGCATACATGTTGCCATAAACGATATTATTTCATTCTTTTTATGGCTGTGTAGTATGCCATGGTGTATATGTACCATATGTTTTTTATCCAGTTCACTGTTGATGGACATCTAGGTTGATTCCATGTCTTTGCTATTATGGATAGTGCTACAATGAATGTACAAGTGCATGTTGTCTTTTTGGTAGAATAATTTATTTTCTTCTGGGTATATACGCAGTAATGAGATTGCTGAGTCGAATCATAGTTCTGTTTTAAGAACTTTGAGAAATCTCCAAACTGCTTTCCACTGTGGCTGAACTAATTTACATTCCCACCAACAGTGTATAAGCATTCCCTTTTCTCTGCAACTTTTGCCGGAATCTGTTATTTTTTGATTTTTAAATAACAGTCACTCTGTTTGGTGTGAGATGGTATCTCATTGTAGTTTTAATTTGCATTTCTCTAATGACTAGAGATGTTGGACTTTTTTATATGCTTTTTGGATGCATGTATGTCTTCTTTTGAGAAGTGTCTGTTCATGTCCTTGCCCATTTTTTTTAATGGAGTTGTTTGGTTTTTCCTTTTTAATTTGTTTAAGTTCCTTATAGATTCATCAGACCTTTGTTGGATGCATACTTTGCAAATATTTTCTCTCATTTTGTAGGTTGTCTGTTTACTCTGTTGATGGTTCCTTTGACTGTGCAGAAGCTCTTTAATTAGTTCCCACTTGTCAATTTTTGGTTTTGTTTTAATTGCTATTGGTGTCTTCATCATGAATTCTTTCTCAGAGCCTGTGTCAAGAATGGCATTTCTTAGGTTTTCTTCTAGGATTTTTATAGTTTGTAGTCTCACATTTAAGTCTTTAATTAAGTCTGAATTAATTTTTGTATATAGTTTAAGGAAGGGGTCCCAGTTTCAATCTTCTGCCTATAGCTAGCAAGTTATCCCAGCACCACTTATTGAATAGAGAGTACTTTCTCACTTCTTGTTATTGTTGACTTTGTCAAAGATCAGATGGTTGTAAGTATGTGGCTTCATTTCTCGGTTCTCTATACTGTTCCACTGATCTGTGTGTCTGTTTTTGTACTAGTACCATGCTGTTTTGGCTACTGTAGCCTTGTTGTATAGCTTGAAGTTGGTTAATGTAATGCCTCTGGCTTTGTTCTCTTTGCTTAGGATTGCTTTGGCAATTTGGGCTATTTTTCAATTTCATATGAATTTTAGAATTGTGTTTTTTTTCTATTTCTGTAAAAAATAATACTGGTAGTTTGGTAAGAATTGTGTTGACTCTGTATATTGCTTTGGGCAGTATAGCCATTTTATGATATTAATTATTCTGTCCATGAGCATAGAATGTTTTTCCATTTGTTTGTATCACCTCTGACTTCTTTCAGCAGTGTTTTATAGTTCTCCTTATAGAGATCTAACCACCTCCTTGGTTAGATCTATTCCTAGGTATTGTATTTCTTTGTGGCTATTGTAAATGGGATTGCATTCTTGATTTGGCTCTCATCCACTATTAGTTGGTAGTTTCATTCCACTGTGGTTGAAAAACATTTAGCATAGTTTCAATCTTCTTGAATTTGTGAAGACGTTCATTGTGACCTATTAAGTGATCTGTTCTGGAGAAATTTTTATGTGTACTTGAAAAAAAAATTATCCTGTTTGGGGTTATGTGATCTGTATATGCCTTTTAGGTCTATTTAGTCTTTAGTATTGTGCAAGTTGGCTGTTTCTTCATTAATTTTCTGTCTGGTTGTCATCCTTATTATTGAAATTTCCTACTATTATTGTATTGCTGTATTTCTCCCTTTAGTTCTGTCAATGTTTGCCTCATATATAGTTATGCATTGCTTAAGAATAAGGATATGTTCTTAAAAATGCATCATTAGGCAATTTTACCACTATGCAAGCATAATAGAGTATACTTACACACACCTAGATGGTATAGCCTACTAAATACCTAGGGTACCTGGTATAGCCTATTGCTCCTAGGCTACAAACATATACAGTATGTTAATGTACTGAATACTATAGGCAATTGCAACACAATGCTAACTGTTTGTGTCTCTAAACATAGAAAAGGTAATGCATTGCACTACAACATTACAACAGCTAAATGTCACCAGCTAATATAATTTTTTTCAACTCTATCCACTATAATCTTATGGGACAACTGTCATATATGCAGTCTGTTGTTGACTGAAACACTGTTATGTGGCAAATGTCTGTATTTAGGTGCTCTTATCTTGGTTGCATATATATTTATAATTGTTATATCTTTTTAGTGGATTGATCCTTTTATATTACATAATATTTTTCTTAGTCTATTGTGACCGTTTTTTGACTTAAAGCCTGTTTCTTTTTTCTGTATAAGTATAGCCACTCTGGCTTCTTTTCATTATCATTTGCGTAGAATGTCTTTTCCATGCCTTACTTTCAGCCTATGTGTATCCTTAAATATAAAGTGACCCCCTTATAGATACTTTATGTTTGGGTCCTATTTTTTTATACACTTAGCCACTTTATGTCTTTTGATTGGGAAGTTTAATCTACGTTTAAAGTAATTATTGATATATAAGGATTTATTATTGCCATTTTGTTACATGTTTTATTTTTGTCTCTCTTTTCCTGCTCTGTCTTCTTTTGTGTGTGTGTGTATGTGTTTGTGTTTGTTATTTGCATGCCTTGATTCCTTTCTCTTTTTCTTTCGTGTAACTTCTGTAGGTATTTCCTTTGAGATTAATATGGGTCTTACCTAAAATACAACAATCTATTTTGTGTTGAAAACAACATCAATCTTATACAAAACTCTACACTTCTCAAAGCTCTAATAAACATTTTATGCTTATGATGTCACAATTAACATCTATTTATATTATGTATACATTAACATATTTTTAAATTGATTTACTTACCATTGTTATACTAATATAGTATTAAGTGTAGTATTAAGTATCAAGATCTTTACCAATGAGTTTTATATTTTCTTATGCTATCATATTGTAGTTTAGCATCCCTTTTTTTCAAGTTGAAGAACTCCCTTTAGGATTTGTTGTAAGGCAATTCTAGTTATAATGTGTTCCCTCAACTTTTGTTTGTCTGAGAAAGTATTTCGGTTTTTTTTTTTTAAACTGCAGTTTTCCAGGTATAGTATCTTCCTGGCAGATTTTTTTTCTTCCATCCCTTTGAACATATCATCTCACTCCCTTCTGGCAGGCAAAATTCCTGCTTAAAAAAATCTTTGGGTAGTCTTACAATCATCCCCTTGACATGACAAGTTGTTTTTCTCTCACTGCTTTCAAAATTATCTCCTATACTTTTGATATCTAGAATATAATGTGTCTCAGTGTGAATTTCTTTGGGTTAATTTTATTTGAGATCTTTTGGGCCTCCTGGATCTGGATGTACATTTTTCTTCCTAGATTTGCGAAGTGTCCAGCCAATTGTGTTTTCTAAATTGTATAGCACTGTGCAAATGGTAGGGGTTATGGCACAAGGGTGTTTCTGCTTTTACTACTGGTTTTAGTGTGGCTAGATTTACATGCTAAATCTAAGCCCTTCTACTAGTTTCTGGATTTTTCATAATGAGAATTGATCCATTTGTTCCTATCGAATTGATGTTTCCACGATAGAAAAGAGAGTCCAGTGTTTTCTATTATGCCATCTTGCCGATGTCACGAGAATTTTTTCACTTTTTAAAGAGATCCCTTCTAATCAGTGGTTACTGAGTAGAAGAATTAATAAAAGTCCTCAAATGGGATGAAGTAGGAAATATTTAGGTAAGAAGAGGAGGAGAAATAACACCAATACGATTTCAAGAAAGGCAGTTATAGGTGAACAAATTTTCACTGGACTAGATTTGGTGTCACCAATTTTGGATGTCAGCAATTTTGGATGAGTCACAGCTCAGTTTTAGATTACTTAAGGCAACTTGTTATATCTCTCGGAATCTTAGTTTCTTCAAGATTATGGGTTTTAAAAAGGTTTTGCATGTAACATAATGTAGTTATAAAGGTAAAATATTCATATTCTTTTTTACAATTTCCAAGAACATTTTTGTTATTTTCTTCTTTATTTCCTTGTTGCCCCTGGAATACAGAAATCTGTGAGAATTATCTACTTATAATTATTATTCCATCTCTTGGTAGAATAAATTTAGCTTAGTGAAATTTAAAATAAATCCAAAAGTCAGAAGTCTGATATTCCTGTAGTTTATTTATTAGAATCACAATTATTATTGAAAAGAGAATCAACTACTTTTATCCTTGGTTTCCAGTTAGAATTCCAGAAGTTAATTATTTTTATATGTTTTTGTAATATCATTTTTTTAATTTTTAATTTTAATTTTTTAACTTCTATTTTAAATTCAGAGATACAAGTACAGTTTTGTTACATAGGTAAACTTGTGTCATGGGGATTGGTTGTACAGATTATTTTATCACCCAGGTCACTATCACTAAGCCTAGTACCCATTAGTTATGTATCCTGATCTTCTCCCTCCTCCCACCCTCCACCCTCCAAAAAGGCCCCAGTGTATGTTGTTCCTCTCTGTGTCTCCATGTGTTGTCATCATTTAGCTCCCACTTATAAGTAAGAACAGGCAGTATTTGGTTTTCTGTTCTTGTATTAGTTTCTAAGGATAATGGCCTTAAGCTCCACCCATGTCCCTGCAAAAGACATGATCTCATTATTTTTTATGGCTACATAGTATTCCATGGCATGTGTGTACCACATTTTCTTTATCCAGTCTACTATTCATAAGCATTTAGGTTGATTCTATGTCTTTGCTGCTGTGAATAGTGCTGCAGTGAATATACACATGCATGTGTCTTCATAATAAAATGATTTATAGTCCTTTGGGTATATACTCAGTAATGAGATTGCTGGGTAGAATGGTATTTCTGTCCTTAGGTCTTTGAGGAATTGCCACACTGTCTTCCACAATAGCTGAACTAATTTACTCCCACCAACAGTGTATAAGCATTTCTTTTCCTCCACAACTTCACCAGCACCTGTTATTTTTTTACTTTTAACAATTGCCATTCTGACTGGTGTAAGATGGTATCTCATTGTGGTTTTGATTTGCATTTCCATACTGATCAGTAATGTTGAGCTTTTTTAAAATATGATTGTTAGCCACATGTGTGTCTTCTTTTGAGATGTGTCTGTTCCTATCTTTTGCCTACTTTTTATGGGATTTTTTTTCTTGTAAATTTGTTTAATTTTCTTATAGTTGCTGCATGTTAGATATTTGTCAGATACATAATGTGCAAAAATTTTCTCCCATTCCCAAGATTGTCTACTCTGTTCATAGTTTCTTTTGCTGTGCAGTAGCCGTTTAGTTTAGTTATATTCCATTTCTCAAGTTTTGCTTTGTTGCAATGCTTTTGGTATCTTCGTCATGACTTATTTGCTTGTGTGTGTGTCCTGGATAGTATTGCCTAGGTTGTCTCCCAGGATTTTCATAGTTTTGGGTCTTACAGTTAAGTTTTTAATTGATATCGAGTGAATTTTTGTACATAGTGTTAGGAAGTGGTCCAGTTTCAATCTCCTGCATGTGGCTAGCCAGTTATCTCAGCACCATTTATTGAATAGGAAATCCTTTCCCCAGTGCTTGTTTTTGTTAGGTTTACTGAAGATAAGATAATTGTAGGTGTGTGGTCTTATTTCTGGGTTCTCTATTCTGTTCCATTGGTCTATGTATCTGTTTTTGTATCAGTATCATGCTGTTTTGGCTAATGTAGCCCCGCAGTATAGTTTGAAGTCGGGTAGCTTAATGCCTCCAGCTTTGTTCTTTTTGCTTAGAATTGCCGTGGCTATTCAGGCTTTTTTTGTTGTTATTCCATATAGATTTTCAGTATTTTCTAGTTCTGTCAAGAATGTCAGTGATAGTTTAATAGGAATAGCACTGAATCTATAAATTGCTTTAGGCAGTATGGCCATTTTAACAATATTGATTCTTCTTATCTATAAGCATGGAATGTTTTTCCATTTGTTTGTATTGTCTTTGATTCCTTTGAGCAGTGGTTTGTAGTTCTCCTTGTAGAGATCTTTCACTGCCATAGTTAGCTGTATTCCTTGGTATTTCATTCTTTTTGTGACACTTGTGAATGGGAGTTCATTCCAAATTTGGCCTTAGGCTGGACCGCTTTTGGTGTATAGGAATGCTAACAATTTTTGCGCATCGATTTTGCATGCTGAGACTTTGCTGAAGTTGTTAATCAGCTTAAGAAGCTTTTGGGCTAAGACAATGGGGTTTTCAAAAAGTAGGATCATGCCATCTGCAAACAGAGATAGTTTGACTTCCTCTCTTCCTATTTAGATGGCCTGCAAGGTGCTGTGGAATTGAAGTCTGCGGACCATCACTGCGCGGCCCCCTGGATTCAGCCTCTTTCCTAGGAGTATGTACAGGGACCTAACCTCCTTTTTTGCTGGAGTTGTGGCTACTTTTGCCAGGAAGCCCAGAAAGCAAGAACATCTAAGCTCCCGGGTCCCCTTGTATGCCTGAGCAGCTGCTCTGCTGAAACTCTACATAACCCTGTGTCAGACTGTAGGCCCTGGTGGAGGGGATTCATGATGTATCTCCTGACCTGAGGGTTGCAAAGATCTGTGGGAGAAGCATGGTTTCCCAGGGTCACACATTCACTCACTGCTTCTCTGAGTGGGGGAGGTTTGCTTGGCTCCATGTTGCTCCCTGGTTGGCCACCATTCTGCCTTGCTTTTCTCCATTCTCCATGGGTTGAGTTGTTTTTTGATTAGTCTCAACTGTAGTACCTGAATGGTTCATTTGAAGGTGCTGTATTTACTCGCCCCTTCCATTTCTCTCCACAAGAGCCACACACCTTAGCTGCTTCTAGTCAGCCATCTTGGCCACAATAATTATTTTTAGTTAATACATTTTCATAATTGACAATTAGAAAAGATCATGAAATTTCAAGTTAAGCAAATTCTACTCAGTGTCTTCATTATTCATCTACCTTTTGGCATCCTATTTGCAATTGTGCTTCAATCAACTACCACATTCTAATAAAAGAATCAGCTAACTTTTAAAGTTTGGTTTTCCATATTACCTACAACAAAATATGGGCATATAATACCTCAGTTCTCTTCAGTTTATTCTGTTGAATATTTGTTTAATATATGTAATGATCAATAATGATGATATATGCAAAATAACAATTTCACTAATATATATTATGTACATATATAGTGATACATATATCATCATTATCATTATTTGTATTATTATAGTATAACAATATTCTGAAAATAGTGTCCTAGAATTCTTTGTATCCTGCTATCCAAAAGTATATTCCTAATTTTTCTACCCCTATCTCTATTGTTGTCTCCTCTGAAGTTCAAGAGTCCTCATGACTACCCTCTCTTTTGACACCAGCTGCAAGTTTGGGAGTCTCCAGAACCACCCTCCCTTCTAACACCAACTACAAGTCTGGAGATCCCTAAGACATCACTCATGTTTGATAATTTGCTAGAAGGACTCACAGAATTCAGCAAGGTCATTTTACTCAGGGTTATGGTTTATATGTGAAAGGATATAAATTAAAATCAGCCAAAGGAAGAGGTACATAGAGCAGAGTCCAGGAAAGACTCAAGTACAGAGCTTCCCATTATCCTCTCCCAGAGAAGTTGTGTGAAGAACATTTACTTCTAGCAATGATGTGTGACAATATACATAGAGTATGGTCAACTATGGAAGTTCACCAAGCTTTGCAATTTACAATTTTTGGGGGGGCTTGGTCACATACACTTGGTTAACTGCCTGCAGCATGGCTGTCTCTAGTATCTGGCCCCACCAATGTTCAAACTGATAGAGTGTGGCCCAAGCCACCCCACCATGAATCAAATCTTATAGCATAAACTATTTAACATACCCAAAGACCCCAGGTAAATAATGTCATTTTTATTAGTCAGGACATTCCAAGGCCTATGAGATTACTGCCCAGAGCCAAGGACAAAGGCCAACCCTCTCTTTGAGCATGGTTAATTCTTTAGTGTACCTTTGCCAAGTCCAAACTATCATCACTTTGCTTCTAGATTACTTCAAAGAGTTAAATGTCTTCCTGCTTCCCTCTTATATTCCATAGAGTCCATTTTCTACCAAGAAGCGAAAAGGTAAAATGTGACAGTTCCTTTTCTCATTTAAAAAGCTATAATACAAAGTAGCAGACATATAGGATGAACAAGTCTAGAGAGCTAATGTAGAACATGAAGCTTATAGGTAATAAAATTGTATCCAGGGAAAATGTACCTTTTACTAGTATTCTATTGAGAGAGGAATGAGTTGTTGACTAATATTTAACAAGCATCTTATGATTTTGAATTAGTGAAAAAAAAAGCCATGATAGTTATTTGTTATACTAAGAATAAAATCTGAACTCTTTTCCATGGCCCACAAATTGGCTGTGACCATTCAGAGTGTATCTAAGTAAAGGTCATACCTACCTGACATAGTCTTGTCCCATGACCCTCAGGTGTCTTGTAATACATTCGTTCTGTATTTTCTCCTCTTTCTCTAAACTAGCAAGCTATTCTAGGTTCAAAGCCTTTGCATTTTTCATCCTCCACTCTTGGAAATGCTTTTCCCTTGTTCCTTCAATGATTAACTCTTCTTCATCAGCTAGATCTTAGCTTGAATATCACCTCCTCATGGAAGTTTTGCTCTCATTCTGTCTACAGTAGTTTTCTTCTTCTAGTCATTGTTGGTCATATTACCATCTTCTATTATTCTCATAACATTCATAATAAACTGATACTGTTATACTTACTTTCTTTATATCTGTCTCTGTCCATTGGAATTAAGTATACCAAGAGAAGCAGTTTGTCTTTTTCTTTAGTACAGAGAACAGTGGCTGGCATCTAGCATTCACTCAGTAAATATTAGTTAAATGCATGGCTGGCTGACTGGTTCTTGTCCAACCATTAGTTTCTTGGCGTTGATCTAGTTCCTTCAACTCTACATGGCATTGCATAACATCAGTGTTTTGAACCACATTCTACATTTGAATTACCTTTAAGTGGCACATTTGATTTTGTAGTGTCATATTATATTTGACAGAATTGCAAAGGCTATACTTATGTACACTCATTCATATAAGTAGAAATATTCATATTTCGCTTTCACTAAATATATGAAATGTAAGTCTCTTCAGTGGCAATTAAAGTCTATCAAAGGGTTCAAACACTGGAATAAGGCATTACTAATAAAAAGAAAAGGCATAATATTGATTTTCAAGTACAGTGGTGGTTTCTTAATAAAATTTTTGAATTTATTAAGAACTTGTTTTGGTTTGGCTTTTTTATATCCTAGGATACTGTCTGCTTAGCTGCAGACACAGACATATTTTCTCTCAGTATATTTAAAGTGATATCTTTGATAGCTGCCACAGGGTCACGCAAAGCAGAACAGAAGAGTGCCTTATGCTACAGCTTGGTCCCTTGTTGAAACATTTCATAGCAGGCATGCTTCTCAGCAAATGTCTAGATGTGCAAATTAGAATGTGGTCTACTTTTTATGACAGTTGTAACACATACCATCTGTCTTTATAAGGTTTTTTTTCTTCATTAACTGTCAGTCAGTTGGGTGTAATGATTCTCCCTGTGAATATTATTCATCAGCAGCACTTCAATTGAGTTTAAATCAACAGGTGAACAGCTCACTTTTAAAAATATGAATGGAATTTAAAAGGAATTGTGACTTACTAAAACATAACTATCAGAATATATTTTATGGTTTATCATTGATCTTGTGGATTCTAAAACCAAAGTGTATTCATTTTGATAATTCAACTATTGTAGTTTTATAAAATATTGACCTTCAATAAGTAATAATTTAAAATACATAGAGGAAAGTGGTTTGTATGTGTTTTTGTCAGTCATTTGTGTTAATGTTGAGAGTCTGTAAGTAAATGTAGAAATTAGTTAAAATTCACTGTATGTTTTATTTGTAATATTGTTCAAAAACTTATTTTTTCTCAGAGGCTCACAATCCAGAATTATTAACTTAAAAAATAATGTGTTTCCTTACTTATATTGACTTCAAGCTAATGACCCACAAATCAGCAATCTCAGTCTTGCTATTTTACTTGCATTCTAGCCATATTTTTACAACAAACTACAGGACATTGAACATTAGAGTCTCCCTTCCCATGCCACATTTTCCAAATAATATTTATCTTCTTTTTCTTAAAAGTGACTCTTCTATACACTCTTCTCATTTCTTCAAGTGGTTTTATTATTGTTTCAGTCTCCTGAGCTTAAAAATGTACTTCTCCTTTCCCCTGTATTTCTGACTCTTTCCCCATAGCTAAGAAGTCCAATTAGATCTTCTCCACAGTGTCTTAAGTTTCTGCCCCTTCCTTGCCAATCTCCTGCTGCCCATTGCAGTAAAGACCTAGATTACCTCATAAAACTCCTGTATTGGTTTCCCAGTTTATTGCTTGAATAAACATGACATTGCATTGAGCAGACATAACGTTACTCCCTTCCTCAAACATCTACGATTTAATCTGATCCCCTTTATCTTTAGCTAGCTTTGGTACCTTATCTATTTTTTTTTAACCATAGCTCACTGTAGCCTCAAACTTTGTGGGTGAAGTGATCTTCCCAACACAGCCTCCTGAGTACCTGGGACTACAGATGTGCACCACTATGCCCAGCTAATTTAAAAAAAAAACAAAAAAACAAAACAAACAAACAAAAAAAACAACTATAGAGATAGGGTCTCGGTATTTTGCCCAAGCTAGTCTTGATCTCCTGGCCTGCCTCAAGCAATCCTCCTGCCTCAGCCTCTCCAAGTGCTGGGATTACAAATGTGAGCCACCATGACTGGCCTCTTATTTATTTTTAGTATAAACTGTCCACCTTAGCTTCATTTGAGATCCTTACTATCATCTCTTCCCTTCTCTGTCTGTATAACTACCTCACTACTGGGGGCCATATTCCTGACCTAAATGTCTTGATTTGCTGTGGACTTTCCCAGTTTTGTCCTTGAAAGCTTGTGTTCCAAGAAACACTTCAGCCCCAGGCAAAGGGACTTAGTTGTTCTCTCTACCTACTTCCCTAATTCAATTAACAGATTTTTATAAATTAGATCTACTATGTTGTAGGTACTTTGTTGTAGGCACTTTGCTATATGCTAGGAATATCTGAGCGAATAAAAGATATTCTCTCTTCTCCAGTAGTTTATAATCCATAGGTGAGATATGCAAGTACAATATGATACAATACATCAGGCACAAGGGCACCTAGCTAGCCATGGAGATTCAGAGAAGGATTCCTAATAGAAAGAATGCAGGAGTCTCGATAGAAGCCAGGTGTAGTGTGGAGTTAATTTTGGACAGGATAATTTCTGGTTAAGTGAAAAGTTTATACAAGAGCTAGAAGATTAAATGAGATGTGTATTCTAGAACTTCCAGTAGTTTTGTCTGTTTGTAGTGTATTAGCAAGAGGGGGTGGGATTAAAGGAGTGGTGATAGATGTGTTCCAAAATGATGTCATATTAGAAAGACAGACAGTAATTGCCTGGCCATGCGATTTGGAATTTACATAGGGACAAATGGCAATCCTTTGCTGAGTTGTGAGTAGAGAAGTAACATAATGAGATTTAGAAAGGTCAGTTTCCACAACGTGGATTAGTAATGGTGAAGCAGTAAATAATAAGACAGGAAGATGAAAGAACTAGGAAGCTATTACAGTATTTATTCTCAGAGCTAACCTTTTTTCAGATATCCTTCCATTTGAAATACTCACCCAATATCTTCGTCTGCACTTTTCCCAAATTTACCTATTGGACAAGTCTTCTAAACTCATACTTTCTCCAGCCCTTTCCTTACTCTTCTAGCCCTCATTGATCTCTTGCTTTTGTGATTGTTATATCAATGACCATCATCTTTTCATTTAACAGTTACCCTCTAATTTCTCTTACAAATTATTCTCATGTCCCAGACTTGCCAATTACTTGAAGATACAGATTATCTTTTTCTCACTTTAGTCAAGACTATTCACAAAGAAAATGGTTTAAGAAAACCCCAAAACCTTAAATTTGGGCTTTTTTATTATAGTCCAAATGTTCAGTGCAAAAATATTAATGCCATTCATTCAAAAAACTTGTTTTATATGTTATTTCAAATATTGTGATGTCTCAATTTAAATTAGTAAAGTTCCTATAAGGAGAAAATGACGTTTCAAAAATAATTGGCTGCTTAACTGTAGCTTCCTACTTCCAGCTTATACTTTCTCTCCTAAAGTTCCAATAATAGAAAAGGTAGATGATACCTTAAAATTGGAAACTGGATATATGCCTTCCTCCTATTACTTGTAAAACATGTACGTACTTTCTCTTCTGCCTCCTCTTCCTTTCAAAATCTTTCTTTCCTATGAATGGAATGGAAGGTCATGACTAGAAAGAAAAGTACTTGTGTAAATTGGAGAGACTGTGCTGCATGGGACAGGATTAGACCAGCCTTTACCTGCTCTATCATTCATTCAACAGCTGTCTGATGCCAGGGAGCTTTCTAAGCAAGTTCAAGTTTATATGTTCCCTTTTATTATTCTAAGTATATATAATAACATCTACATAGCAGGATTGTAGTGAGAACTAAAATTGGACCACATAGTTAGTACCCCCTCCGGTACTAGCTATAATAATAATAATGATTGTTATTAACCTGCATTATGAAAACTAGATTCATTTGGAAAAGTTGAGGATTGTGACTTTTCATGTTGTTCTTCTATCTTTATTCAAGAAGGGCAATAATCATCAATGGACTGTCACCAGGGTTTTGGAGAAAAGTGCAATATGGAATTTAAAGGGCTTTAAAACTCTTCCAGCTCCCTTTCTGAACCATTTCCTCTTCTTATTCTTCTTATCTGCTTCACATACTCAGTATTTTCATGTTGGTTTTTGGCTAAGTTCATCTCTTCTATGATAACTGTATTATTTTATTCCCCAAATTTATTTCTCCCAAATCTACCTAAATTGGAATTCTTTCTTCCTATTACTGCATAGCAATATACAATATCTAGGTAAGAAATAATTACTATAAAGAGTAAATAGGAATGTCTTTCTCCTTTCTCTAAGGAAAATACATATTTTGAAAGTGGAACTTGGTAATGTATATAAATTGCTAATTGCTATATAAGTTCTAGAAGAGGAGTGTCTTAGAGTTTTTAAATCTCTGTTTTCATTACTTTTTCCTATATTCCAACTGATTTATTTCACTATTATTGAAATGAATTTTTCACCTTATAATTATAACAGTAGTTTTTGTATGCTTTTCACATGATTTGCACATTTTCTTCTTGGTTCAAATACCATGTTTCATAATGTTTGACTTTTTTAATAACAGGAAGTATTTTTCTGGTTTCTCTACTTTATTATAAAAATTCACCATGGTGGCCTGTGTTCATATTCCTTTGAACAGATTCCTCTTTACTTGAATTCTAAGAATTTATTTTGTGTATGTAGTTTACAGTTTACCCATTTAACTTTTAAATTTATGAAGTATACCAGTTAGGTGCAGTTTTTCTTTTCATGTGGTTAGAAATTTTAAAATGATCTGTGATCTGTTTTAAATGTAAAGGAGAGAAAGCAGTGAAGGGTCAGAAATTTCCACAGCTTAGAATTTCAGACTTTAGAATATTATTATGAATTATAGTAAAATTGGTTTATTCTGTTTCACACAATCATACTTTAGCAAGGTGAATAAAATGATAATTCCCAAAGACTTTTTCTTTTTAAACAGGTGATCAAGTAGTCTGGACTGGTTACTATGGCTTAGTGTATAACCTGGTGAAAATTTCATGGGAACTTCAAGGAGACGAAGAACAGGATGGACTTAGAAACATGATATGGCAAACATTGCAGAAAACAAAGGATTATGAGGAAGATGTACGAATCCAAAATGCAATCAATATAGCTCAGGTAAGGTAAAACACTGGGCAATAAATATGTACATCTATCATTAGGAAGCACGGTTGTCATTTCTCTCCATGGTAAAAGGAATGTCTACATTCAGTGAGTATTAATGACTTACAGGTGAGAATAATATTTTTAAAACTTAACACTGATCTATTTTTGATTAAAGATAGGAGAGTTGAGCTCTAGACGGTAGTGTAAAGGCCACCAAAATCTGTAATAGAAACAGAATTAAATTCATTTAACACATCTAGGGAAAAGTACACCTCAGTAAGGGGTGATTCCACCATAGAACTCTGACTTGGTGGGAAATTCTGATAGACATGTTAGGTACACTAGATTGAAGTAGCATGTTAAGCCATGATTCTTTTTCTCTTTTCTTGATGAAGACATTTAGAAAGTAATGGAAGTTTTAAGGAGCATAACACAATCCTCTAATTTGAGGGCTATGTTAGGATGAGCTGTGAAGGAGCTGCATAGGGGCACTTTCACTACCTCATAGCAAGGGCTGCCAAAAGAGGCAGGCTGTTGGTAAGATTCAAATAGGAGGGGCAAGGGGCATTTTTATGATGTAGCTTTTTATGATGTTAGGAATCCAGACACCTATTCTCTCACTTGAGCATTTCCTCCCTTGTCTAGTTCAGTGACCAGAAATACCAGGAAGAAGGCTGAACACAGCCATATCATGACACTGGACTAGAGAAAGTGTAAAGGTGGTCTTAACTTCAGTGATTTCAACACACATAGAAAATAAATAGGTAAAGGTAAAAGTTCCTTTGTTGGGTTACCCACTAGCTCCAAGACTCTTCCCTCTCCTCTCAGCCTGCTTGACTACTATATTTGTAAATCAACCTATATCTCCTAGCCTAAATTATAATTTAGAAGCTTAAAGGGCATCCTATAGTTAGTGAGAGGACACAAGAACATTTTATTTTTATAATTTTGGTAATAACACATTAAACAACTACCATATTAAAGGAAAAACACACAGAAACATCTGTTTTTTTCAATGCTGTATCCCAATACACACAATAAGTGCTCAATAAATATAGGTTGAATTAACAGTCCAAATGGGTTCCCTTTAAATATTAACATACATGCTATAACCATGTTTAATAATTAAATTTAATATTGATTAAATTAATGGTAAAATTATTTTTAAGATAAAAATAAAAATAATTTTATTATTAAAAATAACAAAATTAAAGAGTAACATCTACAATTCTTTGGAAATTAAACATGCCTTGATAAATGATATGGTTTGGCTGTGACCCCACCCAATCTCATCTTGAATTATAGTTCCCATCAACCCCACGTGTTATGGAAGGTACCTGGTGGGAGTTAATTGAATCATGGGAGTGGGTTTTTTCCCATGTTGTTCTCATAATAGTAAATAAGTCTCATGAGATCTGATGGTTTTATAAAGACAGTTTCCCTGCACATGCTCTCTTGCCTGCTGCCATGTAAAACATGCCTTTGTTCCTCCTTCACCTTCCACCATGATTTTGTGGCCTCTCTAGCCATGTGGAAATGTGAGTCCATTAAACCTCTTTTTCTTTATAAATTACCCAGTCTTGGGTATTTCTTTGTAGCAATACGAAAATGGACTGATACAGTAAATTGGGATTGGTAGAGTGGGGTGCTGCTGTAAAGATACCTGAAAATGTGGATACAACTTTGGAACTGAGTAACAGGCAGAAGTTGGAACAGTAAGAAGAGCTCTGAAGAAGATAGAAAAATGTGGGAAAGTTTGGAACTTCTAGAGATGTGTTGAATGGCTTTCACCAAAATGCTGATAGTGATGTGGACAATGAAGTCCAGACTGAGGTGGTCTCCGATGAAGATGAGGAACTTGTTGGGAACTGGAGTAAAGGTCACTCTTGCTATGCAAAGAGACTGGCAGCATTTTGCCCCTGCTCTAGAGATCTGTGGAACTTTGAACTTGAGAGAGATAATTTAGGGCATCTGGCAGAAAAAAATTCTAAGTGACAGAATCTTCAAGAGGAAGCAGAGCATAAAAGTTTGAAAAATTTGCAGCCTGCATCCCATTTTTTGGGAAGGAATTCAAGCCTGCAGCAGAAATTTGCATAAGTAACAAGGAGCCAAATGCCAATGACCAAGACAAAAGGGAAAATGTGTCCAGGACATGTCAGAGACATTCCCAGCAGCCCCTCCCATCACAGTCTTGGAGGCCTAGGAGCTCTGGGAATAATTTTTTAAATGTTTGTAAAAAATAAGAAAAAGTTTAAATTGAAAGTACATTTAGAAAAATAAAAGCAGACTATAAAAAGCATAGAACTGATAAATCCTAAAATGGTTTCCTTGGGTAAAATAAAAATAATACATAAACTATTTTAGACTAGCTAATATAATGGAAAAATGAGGGAAACTTTTATTAATCACAAAATCTGGAAGGGTAAAGGGAATGTGATTATAAGAAAGTAATTGGAAAATGATTATAAAAGGATCAATTTACAACTGTATGCTAATATATATGAAAATATAGTGCAATAAATGATTTTCTAAGAAAATATAAATGATGAAAATTGACTGTAGAAAGGATATAAAAATCTTAACAAACAAGATTTAGAGAAATTTGCAAGTGACCTACTAGATTTGTTCATATGAATATCAAGGATAAGACTAACATATTCATTAATATTGCTAATATTTAACATTGTTATTGACACACTAACCTGTGCACTCACATTTAGCAGGTAACTGAATATATGTTGGGTCATAACTGGAGAATGTTTAAACCAAGTTTGTCATACCAAAGCAGTAGGTGAGAGTAGCTAAACACTTGGGAACAGAGAAAAAATAATTCCGTTTAAATTCCAACTCCACACAATCTCTTTATTCAGATGGGACTTGGAACAAGTTATTCCTCAGCCTTAGTTTTCTTATTTTTGAAAACTGTATGCCAAGGGATATTTCTAATGCTCACAGACAGCGATAGTAAGTGAAAATCTCATAAGAGACAGGAAAGCTGAGTGATTTTGAGAGCACAGAACCTACAGCAAAGGTTGCCTGGGTTCAAATGGCTGTTCTACCACAGAGTATCTAAGTGACCTTGGGCATATTTTTACTTCAGTTTCCTTCTCTGAAAATGGGGCTAAGAATAGTATCTAATGCATAGGCTTGTTATGATGACTAAATTAATTCATGTTATAAAACATTTAAAGTTTTTGGTAAATAAATAAAATATACTGAGATAAAAGTTATTTGTTATACTCTAAGTTATATTACTTCTCAATATCCCTAGAGATTATGATTTATTATTGTGCTGTTAGAACTATAAGAGGAGAACATTTGCTTTTAATAGAAAAAATTCAACAGCAAATGTTGATGAATTTCAGATGAAGAAAGTGAAAATAACTTAGCAAAATATTTGGAGGAAGTAGAGGATAAGTAAGCTATGAAGTAAACCGATGAAATTATTTTATTGTGTTGGTTTCTTACAGGTGTGCTAACTGAGGCAAGCCGCAAATCTTCATGAAACTATGAGATAGCAGGCTTGAAAAAAGTTTACAACATTGATGGAGTAGACCTGGTTTAGGGATTTCACTAATGGCTTTATTTATCTGTTTCCAAAATAGGTGGGGGAAAATTGGGTTGGTATTTTCTCTTCAGGCAATGAGAATAGGTGGCCACCCTGATCTCTACAGGTCCAGCACTTGGCATTCCCCTGACTAAGCAACCTGAAGAGAAGAGTTGATTTTTGGGAAGAGTAATTGTTCTGTTTTGGGTTTATGCCTTTTGGAGACATTTATGAGTATGCTGACCAAGCATTCCAATTTGCCTAGGTTAGCATGGGTTCACGCCTATTGTCCCAACTTTCTTACTGGTCGTAAATTAATTCACTTTCAAAAGTTCCTCAATTTGGATGGCAAATTATTGGTCTATCTTACTTTTAAGTTTTCCATTACACAGTATGTTGCAAATCTGCACTTGCCAATACTAAACTTTTTGTTAAAGTTTAAATATTTACAGCTTCTTGGTTTTTCTAGCTCTGATTGAGTAAACGTATATATTTTTCTCCATATTCAAAGAAAGCCATTTTGAAATAGGCCATTCATTCTTCATAAAATACACATGATTTTTCCATTGATGCTTTATCCATATGGCATCCTATGATATTCCAAAGTGCCAACAAACACTTTTTTTTCTTACGTCTTATTTTGAGGCAAGTTAATCTGTTTATAATCAGGAAATACATATTTTTTTCTGTCATTGAAAATTTCTGGTTATTTCTAGCTTTCACAGGAGCAATTATCCTAATATTCCTAATGTCCCGTTTTTAGATAATAATTATGGATACAAATTAATGTTAATAGGTAGGAAGGGCAATTAATAAATTTAATCTGCCCAGTTTATTATCAAAGCATATGGGTGGGCCATTACTGGCAACCCCAAGTATCTATACTCTAGATACTTCATAGAAAATAAAACCTTAAACTCTTTGCTTTTTAACCATAAGTACAATTTGGAATAACAATCCTTAAAGAGTACTATCTAAACACAAGAAGTTCATCATTTTCTCCAGTTATTTTATTTTTTTCTTGGAAAAAGACAATCACAGAGCTGCCCACTTGAATTATATTGTCTTGAATTTCATGGACGTGCTTTTATGCAACTGTGCTTCAGCTTTATCCTTGGTTTTGGATTAGGAGCCCCAAAGTAAAAGAAAAACAAAGAAAATTAATATATTTGTTTCAGTGATGGTCACTGTATCACCCAATATCCCCATTATTGGGATTTAGGAAATAAATCCTCTTTAGTCTTATGCACTCTATGAACCTTATTACTAATTTTGTATAAACTGTTTGTTGGACCTTAAAAAAATTACAGCCTAATTTTTGAACAGTTCTAACAGAAATAGAAAATGGCGTATAGTCACCTCACCCAACCTTATTCTTTTCTTTTTGTTCTGTTTCCATGATTCTTTCAATTATTTGTATTACTCTCTAGTCTTATAACTATTTTTATATGCTACTGTCAAATCACAAATGGATTATACTATAACTAAGTCAACTCAAATTTATCATTTCTATAATTATAATTCTATTTATATGCCATTTTCAGAGCCAATCATTTGATATAAGATATTCTTTTTTCTTCAAAATTTTAGTAAATATCTATAGATAATTACATTTGAAATTCATAAGTCAATCAGACATAGCAAATATATTTTAGATATTAGATACAAGCAAAGACCTCATTACTTGAGTAGTCAGCGCTGAGAATTAACGAATAAACAAACACATAACCACTACCAGTGCTAATTTGTTTTCAATGCTTAGAAGACATTTAAAGGGTGTTTTCATTTATTTTAAATATTAAATGAAGGCGGAAAGTTAGCTTTTCTCAAGACAAATCTAAATCAGAAATTTCTAAAAGCAGTTATATTGATTTAGGCATAGTATATGTTTAAGAAATGTGTTTAATTTGCATTGAATATCTTAACTAAAACACACAGTTAACTCTATATCTATTTTATTTAAAAGTTAGCTAGAGATAGAGACATTTGGATTATTAATAGACTATATGATTTACGGACATAAATGATGAAGTATTTAACCTAGTGACTTTGAAAAAATCACTTAATTTAGTTTGAATTCCCTTATTTAATATTAAGACACTACAGATATATAAAGTACAAAATTATATAAAATTTTTCACCAAAATCAGAAAAAATATGAAATAAATATTTATTATTTACTGTGTCTGTTCAGCCTAGCTGAATTCTGTGCAAGATGCAAAGAAGTGTAAAACATAACCTTTACACATAAGCTTTATTGTCTCATCCAGAAAGCACGTTCTCCAGAAATAGACAAAGACTAATACAAAAGGACATAATATATGTGGCTAGCTACATCAAAGTTCATAAAGTTCATGGCACTCAGTAGGAGCCCAGATAAATGTTTGATCCCTAACTTTTTTTTAGTATTAGCAGGAATGTATTATTGTTCTCTTCAAGTATTAAATAGTACTTGAGGTGGAAATTTAAATTATAAGTTGGATTACATGGTGCAAAGTGGCAGGGTCAAAGAGCATCTTGCAGATAAGAAAATGTCATGAGCCATGCAGAGATAAGAACACTGTGAAAAGAACATTGTAGGTTGACTTGCCAAGTTGGGAAAATAGCTTGGATTGAGCATTCATGGGCATTAAATCTGGAAGGTTTGTTTGCATTACCAGGCTAAGGTGATGGAGACTTAGGTGGTTTCATGGAAACAGAGATGCTAAGTGGAGGAATTAGTTGTAGGGGAAAATTGTTGGTTCTAATTGAATTTATTTGTTTGGTAATTCATGTTGGGTAAAACTTAAGTGTACGACTTCCTATAACTTTTTTAAATAATGAATTATTGCTTTGGAACTCATGGTATGTTGTTAGAGTAATTATTTCCAATTTATTCAGTGCTCTGTACGACCACACCTTGCTCATTGTCTCTACACTCAAATTCTTGGCTTGACTATATTACTTGATTTAGATAATAGGCAATGGCAAATCTTATACAAGGAGATATTTTAAAAATATTTACACATTGGGGTCTTCCCTCTCTTATTCTCTTGGAACCCAGTAACTGCCATGTCAATAAGTGCATTATCCAGCTGGAAGATGACAGACAACGTGGAACAGACATGCCATTTTAACTGATTTACTCCCAAGCCAGTCCCCAGCTGACCTAAACTCTGACCACAGACACAAAAATAAACTCAGCTCAGACCAGTAGAACCATTCTCTGTTCCCAGCTCAAATTGCTGACCTGGGGAACTATATGCTAAATAAGTGGTTGTGTTAAGCCTCTTAGTTTTTGGTGATATTTTTACATACAAAAGGGTTTTTGATAGAAAGCTGCATAAATGGGATTTCAGTCTGCTATATTCTTCAATATGAATATTGTTTCTTTCTTTTATGTATCATGTTTAAAAAGACACTTATGATTGCTAAGATTTGATATTTACTGTATGTCATCTGATAAACACTTTATGTGCATTAATTATTTAATTCTCATAAAACCGTATTTTATATATACATATATATATATACCCACACATATACACACACACACACATTATGGTCTTGATTTTACAGATGAGGAAATTGAAACTTTAAATGAGAACAGTTTTGTTTTTTTATTGCAAGGTGAAGTAACTTGACTATGGATACATAGCTAGCTATCTGCAGTGCTTGAATTCAAACTCTTTTGTGCCAATTTGATAGCCAGTGCTCTTAAACATTCTTCCCAGTGAGTTATTCCCTGTATGAAATTCTTGAGTTATTTTAAGAAAATCTACAAAAGCAAAAAATGAATATTAATAAGGGTAACAAGAATATAAAAAGGATTGTTAACATTTCTTACTACATAAATTTTATGTAATAATTTTGCTTCTGGCTTCATTATACTTCCTTACCACTTTTTCTTTGTTCTGATTCTTCATTTACGTTTTATTCTGCTATAGTACCTATGGCACTCTATAAGTTGTTTTATAATTTTAATAAAATGGTAAATACACATGCACAAATAAAATAATGGATGATTAAAGTTGGGATTATAACCAGCTATGAAAATATGAGAAGATTTGAAGGGCTAAATTAGTTTTTCAGATTTATTGGCTGGAGCTGGGTAGCATAGCGCTCACCTGACTGTAGATCTGGGCTCAGCATGGATTGCTGGACAGCCAGTCTCATTGGTATAATGTGAAAAAGTCACTGTGGTTTAAATTTGCATTTTCTCAGTAATACAAATATAGTTGAGTATATTTTCACTTTTTATTCACCATTTAAATTTTCTCCTTTAGTGAATTGTCAGCTCAAAAATTATTTTTTTTCTCTTGGGTTTTCTATTTTATCAATTGTTTGGAGATCTTTGTAAATTCTGGATATAACTTCTTTCTTTAATGATTAGTCAACACTACTTTTGTTGCTATTGCTCAAATTGTTCCAGCTCTGGCCGTTGGAAAAATTTTCAGTTTGTTCCCTGTGAACCTTTCACATTATCCTAATCATTGTGTTGATAGACATGTAGGATATATTCAATTTCAAGCTATTATGAATAATTATTCTATAAGCATTTTTGTAATATCTTCTGATGCAAATGTTTATGTATTTCTGGTTGGCCCATATGAAATGGCTGATATTCAAATGGCTTTTGTTGTCCAAAACTGTAATTTATATGGTCCAATCTAGTATTGGGTATGGAAGAGGAGAATGACTGGATCATATGGAAGGTCTATATTCAACCTTAATAGATCATGCCAAATAGCTTTTTAAAGTGTTTGAAAGTTCTAGTTGCTTCACAACTGTTATGTGTTGACTTGTGTAGCTCCCAAAAAGAGATGTTATAGTCCTAATCCTACTATTTCAGAATATGAATCATATTTGGAAATAAGGCCATTGTAGTTGTAATTAGTTAAGACAAGGTCATACTGGAGTAGATGGGCCCCTAATCCAATAAGATTGGTGTCTTTATAAGAAGGCAATCGTGAAAACAAAGACACAGGGATAGAGCCATGTGGAGACAGAGGTAAAGACTGGAGTGATTCATTTACAAGCCAAGAAATTTCAAGTATTGCCAGCCATCACTAGAAGCTAGAAGAGAGGCATGATTCTTCCTCAAAGCCCTCTGAAAGAACCAGCCTTACTGACACCTTCATTTCAGACTCCTAACCTCAGAACTGTGACATGATAAACTTCTGTTCTTTAAGTCACAAATTTTGTGGTACTTTGTTCTCATAACACCAGGAACTAATACATAATCCTTACCAATACTGAAAAATTTTCAGCCTTTTTAACGTAGACATTCTGATGGATGTATAATAGCTTTCATTGTAGTTTTAATTTGCATTCACTTGTGACTAATGAAGCTGAGCATCCTTTTGTTTGCTTATCGGCCATTTTGATATTCTCTTGGTATAAATTGCCTGCTAGAAATTTTGTCCCATTTTTAATTGGAATTTTTTACTTTTTAATTTGTGGGAATATATATATAAAATAAACCAGCTCTTTGTTGGTTTTAAAATATTTTCTTCTACTTTTTAGTTGCTTTTCATGCTGTTAATAATTTAATTTCATGAATAGAGCTTTAAAATTGTAACGCCATTCATTTTATCAAATTTATCCCTTATTATTAGGGTTTACTTGTATACTATTTAAGAACTATTTTCCTACCCCATGGTCAGAAAGATATCTTTCTATATTATCTGCTGGGAAAAATGGTTAAGATTAGGATTAGGTTTACAATTCATCTGAAATTGATTTTTTTTGTGTAATATAAAGTAAAACTGTATATATTTTTTTCTTTGTGATTATCCAATTGACCCAGAAAAGTCCGAAAAGGGGAAGAACCACAATGGCTGACTAGATGTAGCTAGGAAGACCTTCTTTCACCAAGTTACTAGACCATTGAGAAGGTTGGCATACTCTGAGCAGATCCCTGGAAAATCTAAGAGTGGACAGAGGAAGAATGCAGACCTTGAGCAGCTGGGAGGAAGCTGGGAACCCTGCATGGGGTTGCCAAGAAACAGGACTCATTCCTGGCCCCAGACGGCCCCTAGAGGTGGGGTGAGTTAAACAGGCATGGGATAGCCCACTCTTGCCATGGACCTGTAGATTCCTAGCTGCAGGAGACCCCATAATCCCCACGGACATTTGAGCTGGCAGAGATAGTTGCTTGGAGAGTTGGAAGGGATTCGGCAGTGGATTTGGTGTGGGAATGGCTGTAGTGGAAAATGGCCAGGGATGCCCATCCTCCAAAGTTTACCATGCTTCTCTAGGTGTCTTTGGCCTTTATTGACTGTTGGACTTGTACAGAACAGGGCTATCTTACCTGTGGGATGAGGCTAGTCTTATCTGAGCACCCCCTTGTCTGCTGGCCTCTCCCCAGGTCCCTGCCTTACCACACTCACTTGCAGTGCAGCCTCAGATGCTCAACTGAGGTGCTTCCCTGAGGCACCACCATAGCTCCTTTGCCTGAAGACCCTGCCTAATAATTGGAGAGTTCTGCAGATGGGCTTCCAGTAACACCCACTTATAGCCTTCCCCTACTGCTCTGCTGGTTATGCTGTCACCTACAGCTTTTCCCTACTGATTTTCTGGCATGCGCACTGTCACACAACCATTGGTGCACATGTACATGTACAGACCTTGCCATATCACTGCCCTGATGCTACTGGTACATAAGAGTGGGCCCCACTGCTACCACCCCAATGAAGCACTTCTGCTGGCATACCCCATCAGAATGATGTTGCCAGCAGACCAAACCAGAAACACTTTGGCCACTCCAACACAGCAGGTACCCAACTTCAAGTAGCTAGAGAACAAAGGCATGAGCATGGTCCCAACCACCTAGGGTTAGAGCATGCAGCCCACAATTGCTGATCTGTACTTTGGCTACCTGAAATAATTCAGAAACAAAACCAGTTAATGAGACCAAACATATACCACAGTTAAACCTTCAAGGAAATCAAAATATAAAAGCAAAAGCCCATCCAAAGCACAGCAACTTCAAAGATTAAAGAAACATCACACCACACAAATAAGAAAGAACCTGTACAAGAACTCTGGCAACTCAAAAAGCCAGAGTGTCTTTGATATAGTTTGGATCTATGTCCTCACCCAAGTCTCATGTTCAATTGTAATCCTCAGTGCTAGATATGGGGCCTGGGGGGAGGTGATTGGATAATGGAAGAGATTTCTAATAGTTTAACACCATCCCCCTAGTATTGTTCTTGTGACAGAGTTCTTACAAGATCTGGTTGTTTAAAAGTGTGTAGAACCTCCCCTCTTTCTCTCTTCCTCCTTCTCCAGCCATGTAAGATATACCTGCTTCCCCTTTCCCTTCCACCATGATTGTGAATTGCCTGAAGCCTCCCAAGAGTCTAAGCAGAAGCTGCTATGCTTCCTGTATAGGCTGCTTAACCATGAGCCCATTGAACCTCTTTTCCTTATAAATTATCCAGCTCAGGTATTTCGTTATAGCAGTATGAGAATGGATCAACATTAGTCTTCTTACCTCCAAATTACCACACTAGCTCTCCAGCAATGGTTCTTAACCAGACTGAAATGGCTGGAATGTCAAAGATAGAATTCAGAATCTGAATGGCCAAGGAGATCAATAAGATTCAGGAGAAAGTTGAAATCCTATCTAAGAAATCTAAGGAATTCAGTAAAATCATATATGAGCTGAAAGAGGAAATAGCCGTTTTAAGAAAGAACAAAACTGATCTGATAGAGCTGAGATACTCACTAGAAAAATTTCATAACATAATCAGAAATATTAACAGCAAAACAGATCAAGCTGAGAAAAGAATCTTGGAGCTCAAAGACGAGTTCTTCAAGTCAACTCAGTCAGATAAAAATATATAAAAGAGAATACAAAGAATGAACAAAACCTCCAAGAAATATGGAATTATGTAAAGAGAACAAATCTATGACTTATTGGCATCCCTGAAAGAGAGGGAGACAAACAAACAACTTGGAAAACATATTTGAAGATATTGCCAATGAAAATGTCCTTAACCTCACTGGAGAGGATGATATTCAAATTCAGAGCAACTATGTGAGATGCTATACAAGATGACCATCATCAAGACTCATAGTTATCAGATACTCCAAGATCAATGTGAAAGAAAAAATGTTAAAGGCAGCAGGAAAGAAGAGTCAGGTCACTTACAAAGGGAACCTCATCAGACTAACAGCAGACCTTTCAGCAGAAACCCTACAAGCCAGAAGAAATTGGGGACCTATATTCTGCATCCTAAAAGAAACAAGATTCTGTCGGGCTTGTAATCCCAGCACTGTGGGAGGCTGAGTTGGGTGGATCACCGGAGCTCGAGTTCAAGACCAGCCTGGGCAACAATGCAAAACTCTGTCTCTACTCCAAATACAAAATATTAGCTGGGCGTGGTGGTGCATGCCTGTGGTCTGAACTACTCAGGAGGCTATGGTGGGAGGATTGCTTGATTCTGGGAGGCAGAGGTTGCAGTGAGCCAAGATTGTACTACTGCACTCCAGCCTGAGTGACAGATTGGGATGCCCTCCTGAAAGAAAGAAAGAAGGAAAGAAAGAAAGGAAGGAAGGAAGGAAGGGGAAGGGAAGGGAAGGGAGGAAGGAAAGGGAGGAAGGAAAGAAGAAAGGAAGGAAGGAGGAGAAGGAAGGGAAGGAAGGAAATTCCAACCAAGAGTTTCATATCTAACCAAACTAATCTTCATAAGTGAAGGAGAAATAAAATCATTTTCAAACAAGCGAATACTAAGGGAATTTGTTGCCACCAGACCTGCCTTACAAGAAGTCCTCAAGGGAGTGCTAAACATGGAAATGAAAGACTGTTACTGGGCACTACAAAAATGCACTTAAGTACTTAGATCATTTACGCCATAAAGCAACAACACTATCAAGACTACAGAACAACTGGCTAACACACAATGACAGGATCAAATCCACATATATCAATATTAATCTTGAATTTAAATGGACTAACTACCCCACTTAAAAAGTACAAAGTGGCAGGTTGGATAAAGAAGAAAGACCTGTCTTCAACAGACCGATCTCACGTGCAAGGATACCTATAGGTTCAAAGTGAAAGGATGGAGGAAGGCCTATGAAGCAATACGAAAATAAAAAGAGCAGGGGTTGCTATTCTAATTTCAGGCAAAACGGATTTTAAACCAACACTGATAAAAAGGAAAAGAAGGGCATTATGTAATTATAAAGGGATCAATTCAACAAGAAGACTTAACCATCCTAAATACCTATTTACCCAACACTCTTGCACCCAGATTCATAAAACAAGTTCTTAAAGACCTACAAAAAGACTTACATAACCACATAATAATAGTGAGAGACTTCAACACTCCACTGACAGAGAGATCATCAAGGCAGAAAACTAACAAAAATATTCAGGACCTAAACTTGACACTTTACCAAAAGGACCTAACAGAAATCTACAGAGCACTCCCTCAAACAACACCAGAATATACATTCTTCTTATCTGCATATTGCACATATTCTAAAATAGACAAGATGCTTGGCCATAAAGCAATTCTCAACAAATTAAAAGTACAAAATCATACCAATTATACTCTTGGACAATAAAAATGGATATCAATACCAAGAAAATCTCTCAAAACCATACAATTACATGTAAATTAAGCAACCTGCTCCTAAATGATTTTTGGGTGAACAATGAAATTAAAGCAGATATCAATAAATTTTTCAAGACTTATGAAAACAAAGATACAACATACCAGAATCTCTAGAACATAGCTAAAGCAGTGTTAACAGGAAAGTTTATAGCACTAAACACCCACATGAAAATGTTTAAAAGATCTCAAATTAACAAGCTAACATTACACCAAGAGGAACTAGAAAAACAAGAGCAAACCAACCTTAAAGCTAGTAGAAGAAAATAACCAAAATAAGAGCTGAACTGAATGAAATGAAGATGCAAGCCTTCCCCAAATAAAACCTCAAAAATCCATACAAATGATCAACAAAACCTCTATGCGCACAAACTAGAAAACCTAGAAGGAATAGATAAATTCCTGGAAACACATAACCTCCCAAGGTTGAACCAGGAAGAAATCAAAACCCTACAGAGACCAATAATAAGTTATGAAATTGAATCAGTAATAAATAACCTGACAACTACAAAAAGCCTTAGACCAGATGGATTCACAGCCTAATTATACCAGATGTATAAAGAAGAGCAGGTATCAATCATATTGAAACTATTCCAAAAAATTGAGGAGGAAGTACTCCTCTTTACCTCATTCCATAGAATGAGGCCAGCATCATTGTGATACCAAAACCTGGCAAAAACAAACAGGAAAAGAAAACCTCAGGCCAATATCCCGGATAAACATTGACCCAAAGTCTTCAACAAAATACAATCCTAGCACATCAAAAAGACAACACACTATGATCAAGTAGGTTTTTGTATTAGTGAGGGTTCTCTAGAGGGAAAGACCTAATGGAATACATATATATGTATCTAAAAGGCAGTTTATTAAGTATTAACTCACATGATCACAAGGTCCCACAACAGGCCACCTGTAGGCTGAGGAACAAGGAGAGTCAGTCTGAGTTCCAAAACTGAAGAACTTGGAGTAGCAGGGGGTCGGGGGCAGAAAGCATCCAGCACAGGAGAAAGATGTAGTCTGGGAGGCTAGGTCAGTCTCTCTTTTCACATTTTTCTGCCTGCTTATATTCTAGCCGTGTTGGCAGCTGATTAGATTGTGCTCACCCAGATTAAGGGTGGGTCTGCCTTTCTCAGCCCACTGACTCAAATGTTAATCTCCTTTGGCAACACCCTCACAGACACACCCAGGATCAATACTTTGTATCCTTCAATCCAATCAAGTTGACACTCAGTATTAACCATTGCAGCTTTATTCCTGGGATGGAAGATCGATTCAACATACGCAAAACAATAAATGTGATTCATCACATAAACAGAACTAAAAACAAAAACCACATTATCATCTTAATAGATGCAGAAAAGACATTCAATAAAATTCAACATCTCTTCATGTTAGGAACCCTCAACAAACAAGGAATTGAAGCACATACCTCAAAATAAGAGTCATCTATGACAAACCCACAGCTAACATTATATTGAACAATTTACCTGAAAGCATTCCCCTTGAGAAACAAAACAAGACAAGGATGCCCACTGTCACTACTGCTATGCAACATCATACTGGAAGTCCTAACCAGAGCAATCAGGCAAGACATGAAATAAAGCCATCCAAATAGGAAAAGAAAAAGTTAAATTACTTATAAGATGATATGACTCTATATCTAGAAAACCCCATAGTCTATTTCCAAGGACTTTTAGATCTCATAAAGTACTTCAGCAAAGTTTCAGGATACAAAATCAGTGTACAAAAATCACTAGCATTCCTAAACACCAATAATATCTAAGCTAAAAGACAAATGAGGATGCAATACCATTCACAATAGTCACAAAAAGAATAAAATGAAAAGGAATGCAGCTCAACAGGGAAAAAAAGATATCTACAACAAGAATTACAAAAGACTGCTGAAAGAAATCAGAAATGAGATGAATGGCAAAGCATTTCACACTCATGGATACAATGAATCAATAATGTTTAAATGGCCATACTGCCCAAAGCAATATGCATATTGAATGTTATTCCTATTGAACTACCAATATTTTTTCACAGAATTAGAAAAAAAAGTTCTCAAATTCATATGGAACCATAAAAGAGCCAGAATAGCCAAAGCAATCCTAAAGAAAACAAAGCCAGAGGGATTACACTACCCAACTACAAACTATACTACAAGGCTACAGTAACCAAAACAGCATGGTACTGGTACAAAAACAGACACATAGACCAATGGAACAAGATAGAGAACCTAGAAATAAAACTGCATACCTACAACCATCTGATCTTTGATAAAGTTGACAATAACAATGAGGAAGGGGTTCCCTATTCAATAAGTGGTGCTGGGATCACTGGCTAGCTATATGCAGAAGACTGAAACTGGACCCCTTCCTTATACCATACACAAAAATTAACTCAAGATTAATTAGAGACTTAAATGTGAGACCAAAAGCTATAAAAACCCTAGCAGAAAGCCTAGGGAATACCATTCTGGACATAGGCTCTGGCAAAGATTTATGCATGAATAGGTTTTCATTCTCTTAATTATGTTTAATGATAAATTATATATTTGCAGATATACATTAAGTGTATGAAGATTTAAAATAGGTTTCATATTTCTCTTGAATATGAATATATAAGCTTGAATAAGCTTGAGTCCTTATTATTATGAAATTTTCCTTATTATTTCTACCAATGCTTCTTATATTAAAGCCTGATCTTTTTCATATTAGTATATGTACATTAGCTGCCTGTGGATTAACATTTCCATGAAATGTATTTTTGCATTGTTTGATCTTAAACTTTTTGTGTCTTTATATAAGGTATGCTTCTTTTAAGCATGATATTTTTAACCACAATAGTTGAAAGACAATCTTCACCTTTTACTTGTATATTTACATGTAATGTAATTTTTGATGCATATTACGTCTTATTATTTAACCAACCTATTTTATTTTATCTAGGGCATTTTTCAGAAAGCCTTATTTTCTTGTATTAATCAAATATTTTTATCATTGTATTTTTTCCTCTATTAGTTAGTAATACGTTACTCTAAATATATATTGTGGCTATTTTCAGAATTGCAATATGCCTCCTTAATTTATTAGAGGCTAACCTAAATTATTACTTTTACCACTTACTTGAAAATTCTGGAACTTTAGAACATTTATTGTTTTATGCATTTTAATTCTACTTGTATTTTTACTACTCTAAACATTATTATTGTTTTAGACAAGCCAAAATATATTTTGTTATTATCTTATTCTTCATTTCTTTCTGTATTTTTATGCCACTATGTATGCTCAATTTCCTTCTATGTGATGAACCTAATTCAGTACTTTTGTTTTTTAATCTGTGCAGGTAGCCTGGCCATTAAATTTTTATTTTTGGTTTGCTGAAAAAATTGTGTTTATTTCTATATGCATACTTATGCATATAGAATTCTAGGTTGACATATTTTTAGTATTTATAAATGTAAAGTCATTTATTTGGCTTCTATCATTTCTGTTGAGAAATCAATTGTCAGCCCAATAGTTCTTCATTTTAAATTACTGTATTTTTTCATGTCTCTGGTTTTAGGATTTCTCTATTCGGCTTTTAGAAATGTTAATAAGATAAATCCGATGTAGTTCCCCTTGTATTTTTATTGCTCAACATTTGCAGGGTATGTGAATACTGTGGGTTGATATTTTTTCATCAGTTCTGGAAAATTCTTTGCAATGAAGTTTTCAAATACTACTTCTACTCCATTGTCTCTTATTTTCTCTGAGATTTCTATTACAAAAATGTTAGACGTGTCCTGGCGCGGTGGCTCATGCCTATAATCCCAGCACTTTGGGAGGCTGAGGCGGGTGGATCACGAGGTCAGGAGTTCAAGACCATCCTGGCCAAGATGGTGAAACCCCATCTCTACTAAAAAAAAGAAAAAATTAGCCAGGCGCGGTGGCAAGTGCCTGTAATCCCATCTACTGGGAGGCTGAGGCAAGAGAATTGCTTGAACTCGGAGGGCAGAGGTTGCAGTGAGCCAAGATTGGGCCACTGCACTCCAGCCTGGCCAACAGAGTGAGACACTGTCTCAAAACAAACAAACAAAAACAAACAAACAAACAAACAAAAAGTTAGACTTTACACTCTGCCTTTTATGCTTGAAAAACACATTTCACTGAGTAAGTGTTCAAGGCTTATTCATATTCTAGATTAGGGGCTGGCAAGCTTTTTCTTAAGAGGCAAAATAGTAAATGTTTTAGGCATTGTGGGCTCAGAGGCAAAATCCAAGTTATTATGTTGGTACTTTTAAAACCATTTAAACTGTAACCATTTATAAATGTAAAAATCATTCTTAGCTCTTAGGCTGTGAAAAAAAAAAAATGGCTGGATTTGGCCTGTGGGTGGTAGTTTGCCAAACCCTGTTCTAGATTATCTGAACTTTTTTTTTTTTTTTACTGTAACATTTCCATATATATTTTTTAAAATCAACTTGTCAAGTTCCATTTTTTAAAAAGCAAGTCCACTTGGATTTTTATTGGGGTTTCATTGAATCTAGAGAGCTATTTGGCGGTAATTGATACATATCATTATAATATATAATAGGTAATTCATGGATATTTACATCCTGCCACTTTTTAAGGTATTTCCCAATTTCTATCAATAATGTTTTGTATATTTCTAGCTGTTTGATATATCTATTTTATTATAAAATATATATCATATGCTTACAAATATATGCATATATAGAATTTGTTCTGGTTTATATAAACATAATTTAGTTTTGTGTGTTAATTTTTTACCCACCAATCTTATTACATTGTTTTTATAGTTCAAAAGTTTATTTTTTACATAAAAATTCATGTTTTTTTGTGAGCATCATAAACTTTTTTACATTTTCTTATCTTATTTTACTGTTTAGCCACTTTTAGTACAGGACTGAATGATGATGCTGGACATGTATGTTTTACGTGAGTCTCATAAGGGACAGCTTTCAACATTTTCACATTGCATATTTTTAGAAATACCTCCCATAAATTAAAACTCAATTTTTCCAAGTTTAACAAGAACTTTTATTATGAATTGATATAGAATTTTACCAAATACATTTCATGCATCATTTGGTATGATTGACAGATTTTTCCATAATTCTGTTACTGTTGTAAACTATATTGTTTGATTTTCTTTTGTTGACCAATCATTGCATTCCTGGAATAAAAATAACTTGGTGAAGATGTAAATATTGCTCTATTTGCTTTAATAATACTTTAAGATTTTGCATTTGTATTCATGCATGTGATTGTTCCATAATATTTCTTTCCTATATTGTTAAGGTTTTGTATGAAAGTTATTCTTGGCTAATGAAGTGAATTGGGAAATTATATTTTTTTAATACTCTGGAAGAGGTTTCTATTTTTGTCATTATTTCTTCTTATAAGTTTTGTAGAATTCACAAGTGAAGCTATTTGCTTATGGATATTTTGGGGAAGATTTTAAATTGTGGACTAATTTTGTATTGGTATGTTTTCTTTCTAGGAATTAAATTCGGAAAGATGTTTTCTAAAATTGCTTCTATTTTTCTATGATCTTTTTAATGTCTTTAAAATCTGGTGTGATATCCACTGGCTAATTCCTAACCCTTCTTATTTTCATCTTTGTTCTTATTTTAATCTGTCATTCCAAGGCCTTATGAACTTCTCAGTCTTTTTTTTTTTTTTTTTTTTTTTTTGAGACAGGGACTTGCGCTGTTGCCTATGCTAGAGTGCAGTGGTGTGATCATGACTCACTATACCCTGTGCTCAAGCGACTCTACTGTCTCAGCCTCCCGAGTAGCTGAGACTGCACATGCAGGCCATCATGCCCAGCTTATTTGTTAACTTTTTGTAGAGATTGGATCTCACTGTATTGCCCAGGCTGGTCTCACATTTCTGAGCTCAAGCCACCATCCCACCTCAGCCCCTCAAAACACTGGGATTACAGGCCTGAGCCACTCTGCTTGGCCTCTCAGTCTTAAAAATCAACTTTTGATTCTCTTGATACTGTGTTTTCTCTCTTTTTTTCATATGTGATATTAGGTTTATTATTTTCTTCTGCTAATTTCCTTGCATTTAATGGATTATTATTTTCCTAAAATTATTGAACTTTATTCCTTGTCATAGATTTGTGTATTTTCCTTTTCTAATATGTGTTTTGTACACTATTAATTTACTTTCACATGTAATTTTAGTAATATCCTAAAAAGTGTGATAAGCAATATTTTAATTATCATTTAGTTCAAAAACTTTTCTAATTTCTGTTATCTCTATTTAAACCATACATTGTTTAGAAGATAACCTATGGCTTAGTGTTACATATATTGAGACTTTTATTGTTACATTTATATTGTTTGATTTTAGTTCAATTTTATTATGATCAATCACTACACTTTATAATCATTATGATTTTTAAATTAAAAGTCAACCTTTTCTGTTGTGAATAAATATAACTACAACAGATCTCTTTTGATTAGGGTTCATGTTAATATGGTATATCTATTTCCATCTTTTAATTTTATGCTCCCTGAATTCTTATATGTATGTCTCTAAGGAGAAGTGGTATTTTTTTAACCTGAAAATTACTGTCTTCAAATTGAAACAGTTTATTTACATTTACTGTCACTGCAATATATTTGTATATATTTCTATGTTTTGTTATTTACTATTCTATAGATGACACCTGTTTCTTGTTCTTTTAAAATAGTCTCATATTTGCCTTTTGGGAAAAGATTTTGTTTTTTTAATTATACCATTCCACCCCGCCCCCTTTACTCGTTTGGTGGTTACACATTATTTTACTGTTACTGGTTACCTCTGATTTTACAAAATAAATTCTTGAATTATTAAAATTTAATGTAAATAAATTTTATATTTTCCTGGACCATGAAAATGTCTTATAATATTTTAATATTTAAGATTAATTATTAAATATTATTAAATATTAATAATTAATGATTAATAATATTTAATATTTATACCCACTTTCTTATGCAATTCTGTTTAGCATTTTAATTATGTGTATGTATATCTGGATGTGTTCGTGTATGTGTGTGTGTGTTTATAGGCACCAGTATATTATTATTGCTTTATGTAATCAGTATTCTTCAAGCTTACCCACATATTTAAAAGTTTCTTTCCTTATTCTTCTTCCTTGAATCCTTGAATCTGTGGCCTTCTGTGTGGTATTATTTTTCTTCTGCTCGAGGAAAACACTTTTGTAGCCTTTCAGTGAGCCTCTGCTGATGTTGAATTCTGTGAGTATTCATTTATTTGCTTTTTGCTTTTTTTTTTTTTTTTTTTTGGAGATGGAGTCTAGCTGTGTCACCCAGGCTGGAGTGCAGCGGCGTGATCTCAGCTCACTGCAACCTTCGCCTCCCGGGTTCAAGCTATTCTCCTGCCTCAGACTCCTGAGTAGCCGGGACTACAGGCATGCACCACCATGCCTGGCTAATTTTTGTATTTTTAGTAGAGACTGGATTTCACCATGCCGGACAGGCTGGTCTCAAGCTCCTGACCTCAAGTGATCTGCCCATCTCAGCCTCCCAAAGTTCTAGGATTACAGGTGTGAGCCATCGTGCCTGGCTGAGAAGCTTTTTATTTAATTTGATTTTGAAGGATGATTTCATTGACTAAGAATAATATCTTGTCATAGATGAAACATAAATTCAGGTGTCCAATTGCTGTGTTTATTTTACTCCTCGCCAGTATTTTGGGTTGCATCATTTTTATGACTTAGGTTATAAAAGATTTGTTTCATTTTATTATTAGATGGTATCAAATGCAGTATTAGCATGTCTGCACTAGATCTTAGGAGTACTAATGTCTAAACTAACTTCCTCAAATATTCCATACCTAATTATTCAAAAGGCTAAAGTGATTAGTACCTGTGTGGGTCTCAGTTTTTCTTTCTGTCTTCCTTGTACTTGTGACTCAGTTGTTAGGCCTATGTGATTTTCTAACTTTACTGAGTTTCACAGCTAAAATTTCTTCCCTCTCATGCGTAATTTTGCTGAGTAAAAGAACAAACATCTATTTACATTTTTTAAAGCTGCTTTCTTAAGGAAGTTAATAATGGAAACTTAGACTAAGTTAAACAGACTAATGCCACATATACAAATAAGACAAAACAAGACAAAATGATCACCTTTGCTCTATAGGTAAAAAGTTTTAGAAAAATTATTTTGAATTTATTAAAATTATATTTTCTTACCTAAAACAGTCAGAATATGTTCTATTTAAGTTGAATTAAGCACATCTTACAGTTGTGCTTAATTTTACAAGTAAAACTTGAGCATAATACATTTGAGGTGTTTTTTTTTCTCTTTCTCTTTTTCTTTTTTTTTGGTAGTATCGTGGCAACACTTATTTTCAGTAATAAAACTCCAAAGGTGGGTTATTTATTTCTAAATGTTCTTATATTTCCTTAATAACTTGCTAATTCCCGAAATCCCTTAAACCAACTTATAATATTTTCCTGTAGTACCTCTTTGAACAAGTTCTGTGGTATAAACTATATAAAACCTTTCATGTCACAAGGATTTAAAAAATTAGTCTTCAGACACTCTCTCACTACTCCATGTGAATTAGGGAACATCTATCAAACACCTATACAGTGAGGGCTTGTGCCTCAGACACTTAGATCTAAAAGAAAATACGTATTCTACTCTTATTTAAGTTATTGCAAATGACTATGTTTATGGCACAACCTTTGTTCTTCCTCTCCTTTCCTAATTCTTTGCTTCAAAAACCTTTTGTTATACAATAATATTATTACCTACATAGAGTGAAACATAACTTTGTTTATAAACTACTGTACATTCTAAGGGGAAGGAATTATTTCATAAGGATTGAATATAATGCAGTGTTTATGGAATTAAGTAGAAATTTTCTCTTTTTATGCTTTAAAATAAATATGCAATTTATATGATAAACAACTGAATTTCATAAATACAATTTTAAATTTAATACTTCGATTTATCTACAACAGTGGTAAATCCATTCCTAACTAAATTATCCATTCCTAACTAAATTATCTACTCTCTACATTATCGACTTTCTTTACATTATCTACTCTCATCTCATATGTTTTTTTATCCATGATAACATTTTATCATCTGTAACTCTTATTATATTTGTTCATAAAATTTGATGCCTCTTGGAGGTTGGAGGAGAGGTGAAATATTTAATAAGCATATTTGAAATGAAAAACAATTGTGAATAGATCCTGAAATATGAGCCCTTCATGTGACAAATTCAATATAAACCCAACTGTTGCCTGAGTATTTGGGAAAGAAATAAAAAAACTGTCATATACTCACAGTGGCATAATAAACAAATGTTAATTGATGTGCTTTGTTTGAAATACTTCCAGGGAGACTTGCAATGAGCAAGGTTTTTCTGTATAGGCAATTCAGCAGCATATGCTGGCACATCTAGGAAAAGTCATCGTGTATAAGTGTTTTCTGCCATCTGGTATATGACCTAAAATATCAAAAAGAAATATGTACAGCTAAAATGAATATGTGAATTTATTCAGAGTACCTTTGACTCATCAGGTAAAGCACTTTGTGGTTAACATTTTATGGTGCAATCTTTAAAACAAAATTTGTTTTTATTCTTAATGATATTTCCATATCCCTAATGTGCTCTATAGAGCAGCAAAACAGAAGAAACAACAGTATTAGTCCCTATTTTCCCAGTGCCTATTTCTCTCCTTCTCCACATGTGGCTTTACTTTTGACATAAATAGCAATAGTTTGGAAAGTGAGCTGTATTTTTGGATAAGTATAGATCCTTAAATACTTATCAATAGAATGCCAATGTAGCAAATACATTGTTTTAAGAAAAGAAACTATAATATTGTAATATTTTATATAACAAAATAATAAACACAAATAGTTTTTGTAGTGCCTTTATCATGCACCAGGCACTGTACAAAGTATCTGTTATATACATATATATAATGTATATTAACCCATTTGAGCCCCACAGCTCTCCTACCACCATCATCATCCATGCAGATCAAGCATTTGAGTTTTAAACAGAATAAAATGACATGCTGGTGGTGGTTAAGCTCACTGTGAGTGAGCTTAACTCAAAGGCTCTAATATTTCTACTATTTCATGCTTTCTCTAAAATTAAATATAAACAAGGAACTAACATTTATTGAAACACTTCCATGTGCTAGAGACTGTACTATAAAATATATGCTTTTTGTTTAATCTTTACCATAACCTTGTGAAGCAAAATATTTTCATCATTCCACTTCAGGGATAAGGAATCATGCTCAGAGAGGTTAAGTACCTTGTGGAAGATCACGTAACTAGTAAGAAGGAAAATTGATATTTCCATTTAGTCCCTTCTTTTGCTACTATATCAGTCCTTCTTAAAACCATAAAGTGCAGACAAAGATAGGGCCTGAGATACTACATTGATAACATGCTCCCAGGTACTGGCAATAAAATGGTCCAGTGACTATAATTTTAGTAGCAAGGAATTACTCATGCTGTTCTCCTTTGTGAGCTTTCACAACTCCTATAGAAAATAATCTTATGACACTACTTTGAGTCACTTAAATTTTGAAAAACATTTAAGAAAAAAAATATTTTCAAAAACAAGTTAAATATCTCAGCAAGATTACTTAAGGAAAGGTAAAGACATGTTAAAAAGGAGAGAGACTGTGAGAGAAGGGAAGAGAATTTGTAGCAAACTGCTGCAATGGTTTGAAATTATTTTTTCCTTTTTTCTCTTATGTCAAAAATAATGTGAGTTAGCTCAAATTTTGTTGTGTTTGCTACATTTCTCTAATTATTGGTGGTAAATTCAGAACTTTGTAAAGGCTTTTTTTTTTTTTTTTTTGATATGTGTGTATTGCTACTACATCCTAATTCCTTTGGGCTGATTTATGCATTTTCTTCCTGCATTAATGCAGCCTTTGCCATCTTTATGCCCAACACAAAGGCAAAGGGTAAGCTTCTGTTCCTGCCTTTGGTTAAAATATGTATGTGAAGGAAATAGTCTTCAAGAATACTACTTTTCCAATTTTAATAGTAAATCAATAAAGTTAACATAGATATTTTTAAAATTCCCATTTGTTTCTTAATAAAGAAGTCATGTTCTAATAATGTACTAATAAAAGGAAACCCTGAATTTTTATAATCTTCATAGGCATCACTAAAAATTAAGAACACATAATTAAAATGTAAATAAATGGTTAAAGTTGGTGTTTGAGATAATGTTCATTGCCAGGCTAAATAGTAGTAAATTTATAAATTTGGAATCTGTTGTAAAAGATGTTCATTAGTATTTTGTTTAAGTCTGCTCTCAAGAAGTATAGACAAATTTATGCATAGATGGCATTCAAGTCTCTTAATATTGAAATATATTAGAATAATGGCTTTAAGAGAAGAAGGAAGATAACTATAGAAGACGACTCTAGAAGTATAATCATGATCTTATTTGATACATTTGCTAATGTAAAAGTTATGTTATAACCAAACTGTTTTGGCATGGCAGAGGTTAGGTAGAGTCTTCCTGGGTTGATGGTGGGAGTTGCTGCGAAGGCCAGAGCTCTAGTGCTCTGTCCTAGGGAAGACCTGAAAGGCACTAATATCTGTTGACCTTCTCACTGTCTAGAAGGCAGATCATCCTTTATGATCTGCGTTAACCTCCATAAAACTAAAAGGTATTTATTATCCCAATAACATAGATGAAAAACAAGACAGAACAAAACTAAACACAAAACAGTCCTGGAGAAGTTAACTAAAATTTTTCAAGTTTACATTGATGACTGGCAAGTGGTAGAGACACACTTGATTTCAGATCTTTCATAGTGCACAGCCCATATTCCTTCCTGGCAACTTCTTGCAAGAAAACACAGACAAAGCCTTTCGTAAATAAGGAAAGTATACATTTGACTGAAATTTGAGACTACATTTCTATTAGACAAAGGGCACGGACATCAATGAAGGATAGAAATTTACCTGGGCTCCCCACAAGAGAATCATAGAGAAAGATGTGGGAATATCTTCATTTTGCCGAGAAAGAGGTGGCATCTGTATCTATAGCCTCTCCTGTCTTAGAGGGAAGTAAGTGAGGAGTAGTCAAATGAGACATGATGAAATGAGCATCAGGATTCTGTAATACAGATGTTATCGGTGGAGGGTCTTGACTACAAGTTGTCCAGGTTCTTGGTGTTTTGAACAAAGAATTGGACAAAATGCACAAACAAAACAAGGAAGGAATGAAATGACAAAAGCAGAAATTTATTGAAAATGAAAGTACACTTCCCAGGGTGGGAGCAGGCTTGAGCAAGTGGCTCAAGAGCCCTGGTTACAGAATTTTCTAGGGTTTAAATACCCTCTAAAGGTTTTCCATGGGTTACTTGGTGTACACCCTATGTAAATGAAGTAGTGGCCCACGATCAGTCTGATTGGTTGTGGGAGGGGACAAATCAGAGGTACTTTCAATTTTTCATCTGCCATGCAGAAAGCGAGGGGGGTTGCAAAGGGAGTAAGTAGCCACTGGTCCTCATGTTCCTTGGGCATGAGAAGTTGGGGTTTTCCTTTTGATTTAGTTCCAGGAAGTCGTTGTGAATTGGCCTTAGGTTCCCTGCCTCCAGACCTTATTCTCTTGCCTCATTTCCCCCCTGAGAGACACAATCCCCATAAATCTTTATGGGGAGCAGAAGGACCGATGGTCTTTCTTCTGTAACTGCTTCATGCTGACTTGGGGCTTAGTCCATACCTATTGGGGATCATGGAATTCTCATTCTGCTCTGTCTAATGAAGACAGGGTAGCTTCTTGATGGCTAAGATGGTGTCTGTGCACCTGAAACTGGCTGGAAGCCCTGTCACATGATAATCTGAAGCTTGATGGTCTCTAGGTGAGAGGAAATAAATTTGGTTAAAAGATTTAATGGGAACTTCATGGGCTGGATACTTATGCTGTAAGGAATGTTTGTTATATAACTGAATTAAAACATTCTGCTTAGTTAGTACAAAGGAAGTGGTTCCATCCATCTGGAAAAGGCAATGAACTATAAAAAATACAAAAAAAATGGCTACTATTATCCAGCCTACAGTAACTATGCAACAAAGACACCAAGGAAAGTTGGTGGGCATTTACTTATCTTTTGGCTGTCTTCTAAACAGGAACTTCGGGTCTTTCACAAGTTCACAGGTGTAGTGGCTGATGGGAGCTTCAGGTTCCAGGTCCGGGGCTTCAGGTATCGCAGACATGATCCTTGAAAGGTGTATCCAACCATCTAACCTTAGTACTTTGCAGAAGGCATGGCCAATATTACTGAAAATGGTGCCTTCCATTTGGGTTGTAATTGTTGAGCAGGTGATCTCTTTTTCCATGTTTTCATCTCTTGGCCTGATTTAGGGTTGCTGGTTAGTTCCTGGTGTGGAGAGCCTTTGAGTTTCAAACTTTTGTAAAACCTGCTGAAATTTTCCTAGGTTAACTAGGTATTTTACTAAACTGGCTGTTTCTGGATCAGTAATTGAATCATTAATTTAGAAAGGGCTTCAGATAACATTTCTTATAGGCTTATATTAATTTTTGCTCTAGGGGTATTATGGATCCTTAAGAGGGCTACAGACAGTAAGCTGAACCACGTTTTTTATGTTTCCTGACAATGCTTAGCTAACACTCACTTTAGAGTTTGGATAGTCCTTTCTACTTTTCCAGAGGATTGAAGCCTCCATGCTGAATGTAAATAGTATTTGATTCTGAGAGCCTTAGCAACCCCATGAGTCATTTGGGAGATAAAGGACATGCCTTTATCACTTTGGAGTCTCTGAGTTAATCCAAACTGGGGGTTATTTCTCTTAAGAGGACCTTTATAACCTCATTACCTTCTCTGTTCTGTTAGAGTAAACTTTGACCCAACCAGTAAAGTTATCTATTAGCACTAACAAAAACATATCCTCTGAAAGCTGGCATATGGGTGAAGTCTAATTTCCAATATTCCCCTGGATAAGCTCCTCTCCTCTGGACTGGTTCTATTAGAGGAGGCATTTTGTTTCCTAAGTTGTTAAGTGCACACAATGAGCAGGCTTGACAGACCTGCTTAACCACCGAAGCTAAGTTAGGCCCAGTGAAGAGCCTGTTAACCATGGCCAAGGTAGCATCTCTCCCTATATGGAAAGAGTCAGGCAGGGTTTTTATAATTCTCCATTGGGCTGTTTGAGGGAGATATACTTGTGATCCCATGTACCACCAGGATCCTTGTTTTTGTTCCCCTTGCTCCTGTATTAGCTGTTCCTGTTGGGATTGCACCCTGAAGGTTGTGCCTTTGGCTTCTCTGTCAGACTTGCTGTTCCCTTGTGCTATAGGCGTTAAGTCCCCTACAATGAATTATAGCTATGGCCTTTGGCAGGTGTACTGCTTTTAATAGCTGAAGAATTTCAGGCCCATGCTTTATAGGAGAGTGTTTGCTAGTTAGTAGTCCCCTTTTCTTCCAGATTGTAGCATGAGCATGAACCACAGGGAATGTATATTTAGAATCTGTATAGATGTTAAGCTTTTTACCTTGTCCCAACATTAATGCTCAGGTAAGAGTAATGAATTCAGCCTTTTGTGCTAATGTGCCAGGGGGCAGTGTCTGGGCTTCAATTGTACTACGATTTACTGTTGTGTATCCAGCTCCAGTGCTCCCTATTTGACATGAAACTACTGCCGTCTGTAAACCAGTTATCCTCAGAATCTGGGAGAAGTTGGTCTTTTAAATTAGGCTGGCTAACATATGAATGTATGTGCAATGACCTGCTCGCAGGAATGATCAGTTACTGGGCCTGTGGGCAGAAACAGAGCTGGATTCAAGGTGCTACAGGTTTCAAGGGTTACATCTGGGTTTTCTAAGAGTGTGGCATGGTATTAGGTTAAACTTCCCTCCATCATCTAGAGGTATCCTTTTATTTCTAAGACTGACTTCACCTGATGAGGGGTTAGAACTTCTGGTAGTTGACCTAGGGTGACTTCAGTGGCTCCTTCCACTAAAATACCAGTGGCTGGGATTGCCCACGGGAAACTTGGCCATCCCGAGGCCACTCCATCCAGCTTTTTTGAAAAGTAGGCAGTTGATCTGTGTTCTGATCCTAATTTCTGGGCTAGTACTACTACAGCTATGCCTTTCCTCTCTGCTACATACAAGGAGAAGGGCTTAGTTAGGCCTTGGATGCCAAGAGCGGAAGCTGGGTGAGAGCCTATTTTTAACTTGGCAAAGGTTTCTCTCATTTCCGAGGTCCATTCCATTAGCTCATTTTCAGGCCCCCTTGTTGCTTCATACAGGGGCTTTACTATGATCCCAAAATTTGGTGCCCATATTCTGCAAAACCTGGCTATTCCCCCAAAAGAACAAAGCTGTTGCTTGGTATGGGGAGGTCCCAAACCACATATGGCTTGCACTCGTTCTGGGGATATTTGCCAGGCTCTGGGTGTTAAGACATACCTTAAATATTGGACCTGTTGAAGGTTATTCTAAGCCTTCCTTTTGGACACTTTGTATCCCCTGTCTGCCAGGAAATTAAAAGTTTTTGTAGTATTTTGTTCAGAAGCTTCCTTGGTTGGGCTACGCACAAGAAGGTCATCCATGTACTGGAATATACTCCCATTCTCCAATTGCAGATCCCTTAGATCCCTCTCTAAGGCCCAAGCATAGAAAGGGGGCCTGTCCCAAAAACCTTGAGGGAGCACTGTCCAAGTGTATTGTTGTTTTCCTCCGGTATTAGGATTTTTCCATTCAAAGGTGAAAAGGTATTAGGACTCTGGTGCCAGAGGGAATGGAGAAGAAAGCATCTTTTAGGTCTAGAACTGAGAACCTTTTGGCACCTGAGCCAGGAGGGTATATGGATTTGCCACCAATGTGTGTACAGGGATAATAGCCTCATTAATTATTCTGAGGTCCTGTACTAACATGTAATAAGCCTTCAATATTCTTCCAAAGGCTTTAGAATGGGTAAGATGGGGTCCTTGCAAGGAGAATTGCAGGGTTTTAAGAGTCGATGGGTAAGTAATACCTCACCTCTGGGTGCTAGGCCTTTTCTTGCTTCCAGCTTAATTAGGTATTGTTTTTGATTGGGAAAATAGCTGGGGTCTTTAAGCGTATTTTGACTGGCACTGCTATTTTAGGCTTCCCTAGATTTCCAGTATACCATGCCAGTGGGTTAGCCTGTTTACTAATGTAATCTGGGACTTTGGCTGTATTTTGCCTGTTAGCAATTCTGCCAGGTGATGCTTACATTGTAGCAGTGCCCCTATTTTAACCATAATATCTCTTCCCAACAGGGGGATTGGAGAGTTTGGTACTACTAGAAATTCCTGTTGTAAGATTTGTTTCTCAAATTGACAAATCAAAGGAGGAGTAAAGAATCTTGTTTGCGGCTTTCCTTCCATTCCTGTAATGGTCATGAACTGGGAGGAAAGCTTTCTGCAAAAGCAGTGAAAACAGAGTAATTTGCTTCTGTATCAAAAAAAAAAACAACTGAATTTGGGTACCCATGACATCCAGAATTACCTGGGGCTCCTCAGTAGTAATTACAATGTTCCTGGACAGGGGCAGTGAGGAAGACCCCAGGCCCCTTCGGTCTTCAGTCTTCATCTAATTCCTGCTTTTGCACTGCTAGAGTTTTGCCTGACTGAACCCCTTGGTGGGAGCAGGGGCAGTCAATCCTCCAGTGACAGGGTTTGTAACTGGTGCCCTCACATTTTTGACAGGGGCCTGGTGAGGGCTTAGTACAGTCCTTTGCCCAATGCTCATTGTTCTTGCATTTGAAGCAAGAGCCTTTGATGGCATTATCATTATGGCCCTTCAGGTTTCCCTTAGCTGCTCTTTGGGCATTCAGGGTATTGCCAATGATGGCTGCCATAATTTTTGCCTGCCATTTTTCTTCACTCTGTTCCTGTTTTCCTTCCTCCAGGTCACAATTGTTATACACCATAACAGCAGTATCAAAAACCTGATTTTGATTACTGCGTGGCCCCATCAGTAGCTTTTGGAGCTTAAGTCTAATGTCCGTGGTGGATTGGCTAATGAAATGCTGTGCCATTAATATTTTGCCTTTGGAAAAAGAAGAGTCCAGAGTAGTATATTTTGTAAAGACTTCCTCCAGCCTGCCATAAGTCCATGGCTGGATTGTCCTCCTTGGCTTGTGTAACCCCCCTTAATTTACATTATTTACTGCCTTAGTTATTCCCTTTCTCATTCCTCCAAGGAAAGCCTCAAGAAATTTAGCCCGGTTGTTCATTCCCATGGGGGTATTATAGTCCCAATTAGGATCAATAGTGGAGACTGTGTTTGGGCCCAAGTGATTGCCCTAAAGGATTCAGATGAATAAATCATCTGCTTCCCCATGGGCGGCCTCAAAGATTTCATCTTTTTTTCCAAGGGGGTGCAACAGGTTGCTAGAATGAATTGAACATCTCTCCATGAGAGAGCAACGGCTAAGGCCAAAGTTTGGAAAGCTTCCGCAAATTTCCTGGGATTCTTGAAATAGCTTTCTAGCTTTTCCTTACATTGTTGTATATCAGTTATAGAGAAGGGACCTGCACTAGGACTGGCCCCTCAGCTCTTGCTACTTCCCAAGGAGTAACAGGGCTGCAGGGAGAGTTAATACGATGTTCTCCTTTGAGTGTGAGGGGGACTTAGTAGGGTTCCCACTGTTTGGGGTTTAGCCTCAAGAGCACTTGGCAAGGGGCTGTATGGAGGCAGATGCTGTTCACCCTGAGAGACAGGTAGCCCTTGTAAAAGGAGGTCATCTGTAATATCTAGTTCTGCCTTAGGACTTTCCCTTGGGGGGCTGGTTCTGGGAGTTTTGCAGATTGTTAGGTTTTGGTATAGGGCCATGAAGGTCTGTACATATGGGATTTTGGACCATTTGCCGTGCATCTTGCAAAATAGATCTGATTGCAGGATGGTGTCATAATTAAGGCTACCATTGACTGCTCATTGTTCCAGGCTGGGCAGCTCATAATTGGGCCAAACAGCATTGCAGAAAAAAAAAAATATATATATATATAAGTTTTCTCTTTAGATTATCAGGGTCAAATTGATTCCAGTGGTGGAGGATGCAGCCAAGCAGGGAATCAGGTGGAATAGATGGAGGGTTGTCCATAGTGGAATCAGGTGGAATAGATGAAGAGTTGCCCATAGTGGTCTGGAAAAGAGAGGAGGACTTTGAATAGTGGAAGGTTTATCAAGTGACCCGAGTGATGCTTGAGGCATCCTGGAAAAATTCTAGGTCCTGACTGGAGTCCCCAGGGGCATTCACCTTTTGAGCCCTGTCTTAGTCTGTCAGACATCTCTGACGTTAGTTAGATGGGTGCTGGCACTGCTTTGGAATGGTTCCCTCCACCACTGATGACCCATTATGAGTGTTTCTTAAGGGCTTCCTATCCCACTTAAAGCAACCCTTTTACTCTCTAAATTTAGGCAAGAAATCCACATTAGATTGTACATCAGTTCCTGCATAAATTCCTTTTCATGAATGCCCCCCATGCCCCACACAGACCATCTACAACATTCCCAGACCCTCTGACTTGTCCTAAACATCCCATCCCTCTTTTTAAACAACCAGTCATCTATTTTCTTTATAACATTCTTTGCATAGCTAGGTGGGTTCCTTTTGTCTTTGACCCATCAAGTAGGGGAAGAGAAGAATTTAGCATGAAAAAAGAAGGCTCAAGTCACCTGAAATGTGTGTGAGTTCACTCTGGAGGAGCTGTTGCTGCCAATTGTGTCACATGTAGGAATCAGTGACTATAAGAAAAGAAGGTTTAAGTGGCCTGAAACGTGAGTTCACCCTGTACCACTGCCAATTGTGTCACACGTAGAGATCAGGGACTATAATCAGAAAAGATAGAAAAGAGTCCATCCTCCTTCCAGGCAAGGCAGCTATCCTCATTCACTCCTTGGCCTTCAGGCAACACCAGAGAGTGGCCCTGGCCAGTTGCCCTCAAATACCAAGGAGCTGCTAGGAAACAGCTGCTGAAATACTGAAAAAGAAAAAAAAGGCAAAGGGCTCAGTTCCCTTACTAGAACTGGGTGGTGGCAGTCAAGGGCTTCCACATGGAAACCTTTCCATTTCTCCAGAGATTGGCCCCAGCCGGAAACCTGCAGTTGCCTCTGTGTTTAGGCACTGCCTACCAAGGGTCCCACGTTGGAAAGGAAAAGACAGAAAAAGAGAGAACAAAAGACTCCCCTGTATGGAGCAGATAGCAAAAGGGGAAAGGAGAATAATAAATCCCAAATCCTATGCAAGTAAAGACTTAACCCACGATCAGTCTGATCGGTTGCAGGAAAGGATCAACCACAGGTACTTTCAGTTTTTCATCTGCCACACAGGAAAGTGGGGGTTGCAAGGAGAGTAGCTTCTGGTCCTTTTATAATTTGGGTGTGGAAAGTTGGCGTTTTGATTTTGATTTAGTTCTAGGAAGCCAGTGAGAATCGGCTTTAGGTTCCCTTTCTCCAGACCCTATTCTCCTGCCTCACAGATTAATGCTATCTTTGATTACAGTGTGTTTTACCAAAAATTATATCATGAGAAGACATCATTTTTTTGGTCCATTTGTTTACTCATTCATTTATTCGTTCATAACTCCCTTAGTAATTCCAGAGTTCACCATAATATCTTCATTTGTGCAATACTGTACTATATTTTGAGTAAAAAAAGGAGGAGCTCTTTTTTGGTGGTGTCATTAATTTTTAACATTTTATTTTTCTACAATGAAGAATAAAATTGTATACATTTACTGTGTAAAACATGATGTTTTAAAATATACACTTCATGCGCGTCCATGTGAAGAGACTACTAAACAGGCTTTGTGTGAGCAATAAAGCTTTTAATCACCTGGGTGCAGGCGGGCTGAGTCTAAAGAGTCAGCGAAGAGAGATAGGTGTGGGGCCGTTTTATAGGATTTGGGTAGGTAAAGGAAAAAGGGGGGTTGTTCTCTGGCAGGCAGGAGTGAGGGTCACAAGGTGCTCAGTAGGGGAGCTTTCGAGTCAGTATGAGCCAGGAGAAGGAATTTCACAAGATAATGTCATCAGTTAAGGCAGGAACAGGCCATTTTCACTTCTTTTGTGGTGGAATGTCATCAGTTAAGGCAGGAACCGGTCATCTGGATGTGTACAGGCAGGTCACAGGGGATATGATGGCTTAGCTTGGGCTCAGAGGCCTGACATTCCTATCTTCTTATATTAATAAGAAAAAACGAAATAGTGGTAAAGTGTTGGGACAGTAAAAATTTTTGGGGGGTGGTATGGAGAGATAATGGGTGATGTTTCTCAGGGCTGCTTTGAGCGGGATTAGGGGCGGTGTGGGAACTTATAGTGGGAGAGATTAAGCTGAAGGAAGATTTTGTGGTAAGGGGTGATATTGTGGGGTTGTTAGAAGAAATATTTGTCATTTAGAATTATTGGTGATGGCCTGGATATGGTTTTGTATGAATTGAAAAACGGAATAAGGAGAAAAACAGGTATAAAAGGTCTAAGAATTGGGATGACCTAGGACATCTGATTAGAGAGTGCCTAAGGAGATTCAGCATAGTCTTGCCAGCAAAGATTATTTATTTACTTTAAGAGTTAAGAGTGATAGTTTGGGGATAGCACCAGGAGATATCAGCTGTGATGGCTTGGAGAAACAGTGTAAACCAGCAGTGTAAACAAGAGCAGGGCATGTATGAGTAGTTGAGAACGGTGAATAGGAGTATGACTAGACAGAAGATAGTAGGGATGACAAGTTTTTTTGGGGCACAGTCTAAGTTGGTCTGGTGTCTGGAATGAGACTGGGGCCTAATAAAAAGGAGAGTCTATACAGGAGCTTAAATGGGCTGTACTTTGTAGCATTCTGAGGACAGGCCTGAATTCTGAGAAGGGAAAGTGATAAAAGTATTGTCTAGTCTTTTTTAAGTTGGTAGCTGAGCTTGGTGAGGTGTGTTTTTGAAAGACTATTAGTCTGTTCTACTTTTCTTGAAGACTGAGGACTGTAAGGGATATAAAGGTTTCACTGAATACTAAGCCTGAAAAAATGCTTGGCTGATTTGACTAATAAAGGCTGGTCTGCTATCAGACTGTATAGAGGTGAGAAGGCCAAACTGAGGAATTATGTCTGACAGAAGGGAAGAAATGACTGTGGTGGCCTTCTTAGCCTTTGTGGGAAAGGCCTCTACTTATCTAGTGAAAGTGTCTACTTAGACTAAGAGGTATTTTAGTTTCCTGACTTGGGGCATGTTGAGTAAAGCTAATTTGCCAGTCCTGGGCGGGGGCAAATCCTGGAGCTTGATGTGTAGGGAAGGGAGAGGGCCTCAATAATCCTTGAGAAGTAGTAGAATAGCAGATGGAACACTGAGAAGTTATATCTTTGAGGATAGATTTCTACGATGGAAAGGAACTGAGAGGTTCTAAGAGGCGGGCTAGTGGCTTGTACTATAGCATAGCCTGCCTTTGCTGGTGTGTGGCGATTAGGCCTGGTGGAACTGCCATTAATAAACTAAGTGTGATCAGGGTGAGGAACAGGGAAGAAGGAAATGTGGGGAAATGGGGTGAACGTCAGGAGATCAGAGAGATGCAGTCATGAGGTTCAGGTGTGGTATCAGGAATAATGTGGGAGGCCAGATTGAAGTCCGGGCCAGGAACAATGGTAATTGTGGGAGACTTAACAAAGAGTGAGTACAGCTGAAGGAGCCGGGGAGCAGAAAGTATATGCATCAGGTGTGAGGAAGAAAACAGATTTTGGAAGTTATGAGAAATGTAGAGTGAGTTGAGCATAGTTTGTGATTTTTAGGGCCTCTAAAAGTATTAAAGCAGCGGCAGCTGCTGCACACAGACATGAGGGCTAGGCTAAAACAGTAAGTCCAAGTTGTTTGGACAGGCTACAGGGTGCGGTCCTGGCTCTTGTGTAGGAATTCTGACTGCAGTAACTATGTCTAGGAAGGAAAGGAGTTGTTGTTTTGTAAGGGATTGAGGTTTGGGAGATTAATCGGACACGATCAGCAGGGAGAGCATGTGTGCTTTTATGAGAATTATGCCGAGATAGGTAACAGATGAGGATGAAATTTGGGCTTGACTGAAGTAATGGGGGCTGTCTGTGAAGCCTTGCGGCAGTACAGCCTAGGTAATCTGCTGGGACTGATGGATGTCAGGGTCAGTCCAGGTGAAAGCAAAGAGAGGCTGGGACGAGGGGTGCAGGGGAATAGTGAAAAAAGCATCTTTAAGATTAAGAACGGAATAGTGGGTTGTGGAGGAAGGTATTGAGGACAATAGAGTGTACGGGTTGGGCACCACAGGGTGGATAGGCAAAACAGTTTGGTTGATAAGGCGCAGATCCTGAACTAACTTGTAAACCTTGTCTGGTTTTAGGACAGGTAAAATGGGGGAATTGTAAGGAGAGTTTATAGGCTTTAAAAGGCCATGCTGTAGCAAGCGAGTGATAACAGGCTTTAATCCTTTCAAAGCATGCTGTGGGATGGGATATTGGCATTGAGCGGGGTAAGGGTGATTAGGTTTTAATGAGATGGTAAGGAGTGCATGATCGGTCGCCAAGGACGGGGTAGAGTTATCTTATACTTGTGTGTTAAGGTGGGGGGATACAAGAGGAGGATGCAAAGGAGGCTTTGGATTGGGAAGGGTAGCAATGAGATATAGCTGTAGTCCAGGAATAGTCAGGGAAGCAGATAATTTAGTTAAAAGTGTCTCAGCCTAATAAGGGAACTGGGCAGGTGGGGATACTAAAAAGGAGTGCTTAAAAGAGTATTGTGTAAGTTGGCACCAGAGTTGGGGAGTTTTAAGAGGTTTGGAAGCCTGGCCATCAGTACCCACAACAGTTATGGAGGCAAGGGAAACAGGCCTTTGAAAAGAAGGTAATGTGGAGTGGGTAGCCTCCGTATTGATTAAGAAGGGGACGGACTTACCTTCCACTGTGAGAGTTACCTGAAGCTCGGCATCCGTGATGGTCTAGGGGGCTTCTGAGGCGATCGGGCAGCGTCAGTCTTCAGCCGCTAAGCCGAGAAGATCTGGGAAGGAGTCAGTCAGAGAGCCTTGGGCCAGAGTTCCAGGGGCTCTGGGAGTGGCTGCCAGGTGAGTTGAACAGTCCGATTTCTAGTGGGATCCTGCACAAATGGGATACGGCTTAGGAGGAATCCTGGGCTGCGGCTATTCTTTGGCTTGGTGGCCAGATTTTTGGCACTTGTAGCAAGCTCCTGGGGGAGGAGGTTCTGGAGGAATGCCTGGCCGCTGCAGTTCAGGCGTTTGGAAGTTCTTGTGTGCTGGAGATATGGCTGGGGTTTGTCTCACAGTGGAGGCAAGGAATTGCAACTTTTTTCTGTGATTGTACACTTTGAAGGCAAGGTTAATTAAGTCCTGTTGTGGAGTTTGAGGGTCAGAATTTAATTTTTGGAGTTTTATTTAATGTTGGGAGCAGATTGGGTAATAAAATGTATATTGAGAATAAGACGGCCTTTTGACTTCTTAGGGTCTAGGGCTGTAAAGCATCTCAGGGTTGCTGCCAAACGAGCCATGAACTGGGCTGGGTTTTTATATTTGATGATAAAGAGCCTAAACGCTATCTGATTTGGGATAAAGAAAAAGGAGCATTAACCTTGACTATGCCTTTGGCTCCAGCCACCTTTTTAAGAGTAAATTGCTGGGCAGGTGGGGGAGGGCTAAAAGGAGACGAATAAAACATGTCTCCTTTGTCTCTGCCAGAAAATGAAAGTAATTGAAATTAAGAGAAGGGAGAGATTGAAGTGTGGCGCCAAGATTGAAAGGCGAAAGAGATTGAGGGATAGTGAGAGAGGTTGGAGAAGAGAGTAAAAAGAGGCCACTTACCGGATTTGAAATTAGTGAGATGTTTCTTGGGCTGGTCGGTATGAGGACCTGATAGGTGGATCTTTCTCACAGAGCAAAGAGCAGGAGGACAGGGGATTGATCTCCCAAGGGAGGTCCCCCAATCCGAGTCACAGCACCAAATTTCATGTGTGTCCGTGTGAAGAGACTACTAAACAGGCTTTGTGTGAGCAATAAAGCTTTTAATCACCTGGGTGCAGGCGGGCTGAGTCTAAAAAGAGAGTCAGTGAAGGGAGATGGGGTGGGGCCATTTTATAGGATTTGGGTAGGTAAAGGAAAAAGGGGGGTTGTTCTCTGGCGGGCAGAAGTGGGGGTCACAGGGTGCTCAGTAGGGGAGCTTTTGAGCCAGGATGAGCCAGGAGAAGGAATTTCACAAGATAATGTCATCAGTTAAGGCAGGAACAGGTCATTTTCACTTTTGTGGTGGAATGTCATCAGTTAAGGCTGGAACCGGCCATCTGGATGTGTACGGGCAGGTCACAGGGGATATGATGGCTTAGCTTAGGCTCAGAGGCCTGACAATACATACATTGTGAAATGGTCAAATTGAGCTAATTAACAAATAACCTCATATAGTTATTATTTCTTTTTTGAGAACATTTAACATCTACTCTCAGCATTTTTCAAGATATGATGTATTTGTATTAACTACAGTCACCATGTTGTACATTAGAGCTCTTGAATTTATTTCTTCTAACTGAAATCTTTTGACCAACATCTCCCCAGCCCTTCACCCGTCAGCCCCTGGTAAACACCATCCTACTCTACTTATATGAGATCAACATTTTAGATTTTACATGTAAGTGAGATCATGTGGTATTTGTCTTTCTGTGCCTGGTTTATTTCACTTAACATGATGTCCCCCAGGTTCATCCATGTTGTTACAAATGGTAGAATTTTCTTCTATTTTTATGGCTCAATACTATCCCATTGTGTATATATACCACATTTTATTTATCCATTCATCTGTTGATGGACACTTAGCTTGATTTCATAGCTTGGCTATTGAGAGTAATGTTGCAATAAACATGGCAGGGCAGCTCTCTCTTTGACGTACTGATTTTCTTTTGGATATACCCAGTAGTGGGATTACTGAATCACATGCTTGCTTACTTGCATGATTTTCACCTTATCCTTTGTAAATGTTTTTTTCCATGTTATTCTTTCCCATCCTCTATGACTTTCACAGTGACACATATTTGCATACCTGCCTTTTGCTATTTTTCTCATTACTTTAACTGTTTTTCGTTCAGTCTATATCCTGAGACTGTACTCATTTTCTCTACTATACTTTTGTCTAAATAATTCAATAATCAGTCTTTCGTCAGTAATTTAGCCAGGCCTAATTTTGGAACCTGAAAGAGGTTAAGTTAGATGTTCATGTACAGAAAAACATTTTCTATTTCTGTCTTTCCTATCGCAAGATTGATATGAATCTAAAATGAATCCTGAGTCACTAGTAATGAGCTGCCTGAAGACAGATAATACTCAATGAAAATGTAAAAACAAATGATAAAAGGCAGTATCCGACTTATTTACAAGAAAAGGAATTAATAGTATGTACATATCATGAACATAAAAAAGTTGTAACATATGCCCTTTTACTTACATTTTCATTTATTATTGCTGATTCCTGCCAGAGAAAATATGCCTCTGGCCACTTTAAAAGAAGTAAAGAAGAAGCAATCCTGGACATTATCAAACAGGAAAAGGAAATTTCAGAAAATAGCCTTTTCCTGAATAAATATTGCTTAAATAATGGGAAATTTTGGTATTTTTTTTACATTTTGATTTTAGAACATATTCAATTTAATCAAAATCAAAATCTTAAACATCGTCAATTTAAGCTAAATACAAAGCTCTTATTTGCTTTTCACTTAAAATTTTTGCTCTATAAAAATGTTCTGTTTGGCCGGGCATGGTGGCTCACGCCTGTAATCCCAGCACTTTGGGAAGCTGAGGCAGGTGGATCACCTGAGGTCAGGAGTTCAAGACCAGCCTGTCCAACATGATGAAACCCCATCTCTACTAAAAATAACAAAAATTAGCCAGGAGTGATGGTCCATGCCTGTAGTCCTAGCTACTTGGGAGGCTGAGGCAGGAGAATCGGTTGAACCCAGGAGATGGAGGTTGCAGTGAGCCAAGATTGTGCCACTGCACTCCAGTCTGGGAGACACAGCAAGACTCTTTCTCAAAAAAGAAAAAAAAAATGCTCTGTTGATATCAAGAACAGTTTAGATTGTGCATTAAAAAAAAGTCTGATTTAATAAAATGTACATTACTTCAACTGATTGCTTAATTTCTTATTAAATAAAATTTCAGAATGCTTATGAAATTCTTACACGGCACGTATATCAAATTTAAAATAAAAATTACCTAACTAAATTTTCAAAATTTCAAGACTGGATGCATTAATGTTTATTTCACTGAAATTTGCTGTTTTGCTTTTTGAAGTCTTTTGGAAAACTGCAATTTTTTTATAAAGATTATTTTTACTTAACAGGAAAAATGCAATATTAGTCAAAGAAAATAAAGATACTTTAAAAAATTTAATAATACACGATTTTTTTTCTCCCATTTAATCCTGTTTCAACTGATTCCTTTCTCTTTTCTTTCAACAGGCTGAGTTAAATGACCCAACTGATCCTTTCACTAGATATAGTACAAATATTTCATCAAATGTAGGAGAAGAAGTTTTCTCCAAATATATTGGGTGGAGAATTGCCAACACTCTTTCCAAACTATTCTTTCCCCCCATTGAGGCCCATTTTCTTCCTTTGAAGAAACCATCAATAAAAAAGGATCAAACAAAATATCCAAATAAAAAGCTGGAGTCTGTGAAAAAGCAAGTTCTACATTTCACTGTAAGGTAAAGAGAAGTACTATCGGTTTTATTGTTCTAATACATTACAATTCAAAATCACAGAAATTATAGATAATTATGTGCCACATCATTTAACTCAGTTTCTCTTCTTCAATTCAAATTTTGGCTTGATCACCTCTTAGATGATCTATCATTGAGCTAGTTCCTCCCTTCTCAGAAACTCTTTTTTCATATTTATAATAGGTATTATTACATAATATAAATCAATATTAATGTAATTCTTGTGAGGTAAATACTAACTTAAAACAGAAACCAAATCATTCAATATTCAAAATTTTAAGACCCTATTTTATGTTTATATACATACATATATATACATATTTGATATGTATTTTACATATCTAAGTTAGAGTCTTGAACATAGTAAGACTTCAAAAACTGGTAGTTATGAGGCTAATTAGATTTTATGTTTCAACTCCTATAAATTTATTTCAAAGGACTCCGGGAAACATTGGACTTAGGAACAATTTATTAAAGTGAATAATTTTCAGATTTATTTACCATTTCTTCAATGGTAGATTTCTTTCAGATTCTTAGGCTCCCTGTTACCATTTTAACATACACAGAATGTTAAGATGTTAAAAGTCACTTTTAGACAGATTTTAAAAATAGATGAAAAATCACTCCTGATATATAACACAGGCCCTATTTTACATTGTAGATCTCTTAGTAAAGCTTTAATCAAGACAGAAACTTTTATTTACTTTTTAACCCAAGTCATTTGAAGAATATATTGTTATATTTTTTCTAGTAATTTTAATACATTTACTATAAAGTCAGCTTTCCTTGTATTTTTAATAATTCATTTTTTGATATGTTCAGTGCTCTATTGAGCAATTCATTCCTGATAGGCTGTGATTGATTGATTAATAGATTGCACACTGATTTTGATTTTGCCATTCTGGATTTTTGTTGTTGTTGTTCATTGTACCTGCTATATATTGTTTTATACATTACATCTGATTGGCTTTGCCTTTGTGTCTTTTTACAACCTAATGTAAGAGCCTTTTGTTCCTGGCTTAGAGGAATTTAACCCAGTGGATAAACTTACCTGGACTAAATAGTTGCTGAAAATGCATCTGTAAATTTAAACTTAACTGTAAATTTTATTCAATTCCTGAATATATACTTTCTTATGTATTTATTATTTATTTTTCACTTGACTAAGGTATTATCAAGCGTTTTAAATACCTGCTCCATATTTGAAAATATGTTGTATTTGCCTCCACAAATGAGAAGTAATTTGGATTAATATGTAAACTCACTTATCCTTTATAACTATTGCCACAGTATATTACTGTGTTTGCAAAGTCTAGTATAATATGTGATTCTCTTTCCTTTGTATGATCTCTCCACTTTAAGAAAACTTGTACATATTATCTTTCACAAAAAATGCTCCAAATTTCTATACATTAAAGTTAGAAAGTTAACTTTCTTTAGATTATAGACCCTTCTTTCCCTGATTTACCCCCCATCCCTCCCTATCCTCGGTAATAACATCAGTAATTTCTTGTGTATCCTTTCAGGGTCTATAAAATGCAAATATAATACATTATTAGTGTTTTTAATTTTTCCCCCTTCATTTTAAAATGAAAATTAGCATAGTAAACATAATATTTGGCATCTTGCATTTGTCATTTAGCCTCATTTCAGATAAATTTTTCCATTCCAGTACATGGAGAATTTTCTAGTTATTATCATTTTTTAAACAAGTTTTCCTTATTATGGATATATCATAATTTATTTAACCAATTTTCTATTGGTTGGCCTTTGGGTTGTTTTAGATTTCTTGTGTACTAGACACAATGCCACAAAGAATAACCATTTACATATGTCTTTTAACATGTGGAAGAATACTTGCAGGATAAATTCTCAGAAGTGTAATTTCTGGGTCAAAGTATATATGCCTTTGTAATGTTGTTACATATTTCCAGTGCCTTTCAGAGGAGTTGTGCAAGTTTATATCCTCACCAGTAATATATGAGTGCCTGTTTTTCTTTAGTCTTCCCAACGGAGGGTGTTGACAACATTTGGGTTTTAACAATCTGAGAGGTAAAATATGGTTTCTAAATACAGTGTAATTTTTAGCATTTTAATTTTCTTAAGGTAAGTAGTTTGAACACCTTTCATATGTTTACAGAGCCTTTTGTTTTTTCTTTATTTGGAAATTATTTTTTTTGCCCATTTTTTACTGGATTTTTGTCTATACAAAAACCTGGGACTATATATCTATTAATCTATGCGACTCTCTGTCTATGGTAAGAGCTACAAATACTTATTGTTTCTCATCTTTTTTTTTTAATTTTGCTTATAGCATTTTTTTGCCGTATAGTCATTTTTCTTTGTAATAGAATGTATTTATTAATTTTCCTCTGTGGTTTATGGATTTTTTTGTTCTATTTATGAAAAGTCTTTTTCACCCTAAGATTAAAAATGACAGAATTTGACAAAATGTGACCAATATTATCTTTTACTATTTTTAAGGATTTGTTATGTACATTGTAAGTATTGGTCTGTTTGAATTTTTTTTTTTTTTTTTTTTTTTTTGGTGTATGGTGTGAGGTGTAGATCCATCTGCCTATTCACTTGTCTCAAAAATATTTATTGCGTCATCCATCTTCCCTTAACAATTTTCCTGATTTTAATTGCCAACTTTTTCAAATACTAAATTCCCATTTCTTTTTTTGTCTAATTCTGAATTTTTTATTCTAGTCCTTTATTCTAAGCTATTCTAACCATAAGCCTATATTTGGACTGTATAATACATTTTAATATATAGTTTTAATTATTTTCTTATATATTTATGTAATTGGGCTAGTTCTATATTGCCAGTGCTTTTCAATGTTTTCCTAGCTATTTTGTTTATTCATTTTTATATCAAATTTAGAATTAGCTTGTCTACTTCTAACAATCTAGTTGTAAATTTACTTGCATCACTTAAAAAAATTAACTTTAGAAAAATTAACACTCCATAATGTTGAGATATAGTATCTCTAACAATATGGCATGTATTTCCATTTATTCAGTATTGCTTTTGAGTTCTTCAGTAGTGTTAAAATGTTTTCATATATGCCTTGCATTTTTCTTATGTTTATTTATAGGTACTTTATCTCTTTTGTTGCTAATATAAATTAATTTTTGCTCCAAATGTAGCTTCTCCTAGGTTGCCCTTATATATTTTCAAAGCTATTGCTTTCTGTGGATTAATTTTGCACTCTACTAACTTGGTAAATTCAGTCATTGAATTTAAGTTTTCTAGATTCACAATTCTGTCAGATATAAATAATTTATTTTCTCTTTCCTGATTTTTATACTTTAGCCCTTTTCCTTTTATGTATTTTATCAGCTGAGTATGCCTAGTAAAATATTGATTAAAAATAGTGAGGATGGGCTTTTTTTTTTTTCTTATTGTTACGAAGAAATCTTCTAGTGTTTTCCAGTTAATCATGATGCTGGCTTTAGGAATGAGAAAGATGTATTTTATTATTAAGCAGTTTTATATTAAAAAATTGGGCTGTTTATAAGAAACTCATTTTAGATTTAAGGACATGTAGGCTAAAATTGAAGATATGGAAAATGACATTTCTTGCAAATGCTAACCAAAGGAGAGCAGGTGTGGCTATACTTACATTAGATAAAATAGACATTAGGTGAGAAAGTATTGCAAAAAACAGAGATCATTATATAATGATAAAAGGATGAATTAACTAGAAAGATATAACAATTATAAATATATATGTACCCAACATAAGAGCATCTAAATATATAAATCAATATTGACAGAATTGGAGAAATAGACGGCAATACAAAATAATAGAAGATATCAATACCCCACATTCAATAATGGATAAAACAAGCAGATAGAAGAACAATAAGCAAACATTGAGCTTGAACAACAGTATAGACCAAATGGACCTAATGGACATAAAGGATATTCCTTCGACCCAACAGCAGCAGCATACACACTCATCTCACGTGCCACAGAACTTTCTCCAGCATAGATCACATGTTAGGTCACAAGCAAGTCTTAACAAATTCAAAAAGATAGAATTATATCAAGTTTATCTTCCAATCAAAAACATTCACAAATATGTAGAATTTCTTTCTTTCTTTTTCTTTCTTTCTTTCCTTTCTTTTCTTTTCTTTTCTTTTCTTTTCTTTCTTTCTTTCTTTCTTTCTTTCTTTCTTTCTTTCTTTCTTTCTTTCTTTTTTTCTTTCTTTCTTTCTCTTTCTTTTTCTCTCTCCCTTCCTTCCTTCCTTCTTTCTTTTTATTTCTTTCTCCCTCTCTCTCTTTTCCTTTTTTTTTTTTTTTGAGACTGAGTCTCGTTCTGACGCCCAAGCTGGAGTGCAGTGGTGGATCTCAGCTTACTGCAACCTCCACCTCCTGGTTCAAGCAATTCTTATGCCTCAGCCTCCCGAATAGCTGGGACTACAGGCACGCACCACCATGCCTGGCTAATTTTTGTATTTTCAGTAGAGACGGCGTTTCACCATATTGGTCAGGCTGGTCGCGAACTCCTGAACTCGTGATCCACCCGCCTCAGCCTCCCAAACTGTTGGGATTACAGGCGTGAGCCACCAGGCCCAGCCCCCCCGCCCCCCCCCCTTTTTTTTTTTTTAAACCAAGTCTTTGTCACCCAGGCTAGAGTTCTGTGGCAGACATGACTCACTGCAGCCTTGACCTCTTGGGCTCAAGCAATATTCCCACCTCAACCTCCTGAGTAGCTGGGACCACAGGTGCATGACACTACACTCAGCTAGGTTTTTTAAAAAATTTATTTTTGTAGAGACAGGGCCTACTTATATTGCCCAGGGTAGTCTCAAACTCCTGGGCTCAAGCAGTTCTCCTCCTTTTACCTCCCAAACTGCTGGGATTATAAGCATGATTCGCCATTCCAGGTCTTTATGTAGAAAGTAAACAACACACTTTTGAGAAGCCCTTGTTTCAAAGAATAATTTTTTTAAAATTAGGCAATACCTTGAGTAAAATGAAAATGAAAACAAAACATACTAAAACTTATGGATGGAGCAAAAGCAGTACTAAGAGGGATATTTATTTTTGTTAAATGCATTAAAAAAGAAAAATCTCAAATAAACAACCTAAATTTACACCTCAAGGACCTAGAAAAAGAAGAAAAAATTAAGCTCAAAGTTAGCAGAAGGAAAGAAATAACAAGATTAGAGCAGAAATAAAGGAAATAGATGATTTTCAAAACAAAGAAAGAGTCAAAAGTTAGTTTTTTTAAAAGGTGAAATTGTCAACCTCTTGGTATTCTAAGAAAAGGGAGAGAAGATGAAAATGAATCAGAAATGAAAGAAGAGACGCTACAGTTGATGCCACAGAAATATAAGGATCATAAGAGACACCTATGAACAATTACATGCCAATAAACTGGAAAACCCAGAAGAAATGGATACATTCCTAGAAACATAAAACCTACCAAGTCTAAATTATATAGTAATACAAAGTCTGAACATACTTATAACTACTATGGAGATTGAATCAGTAAATAAAAAACTTCCCAGTGATGAAAAGCCCTTGCCCAGTAGCTTCATTGGTGAATCCTACTAAACATCTGAACAATTAAAGCCAACATTTCTCAAGCTCCTCCAAAAATTGAAGAGGAGGGAAAGCTTCCAACTAGTTTAAGTGACCAGCTTTATCCTGATACCAAAGCCAGACAAAGACACCACAGGAGAATTATACACCAATAACTTTTATGAATATAGATGCAAAAATCCTCAACAAAATAGTAACAAACAGAATCCAGAAGCATCTTAAAATAATCATACATCATGACTAAAGGGGTTTTATCCCTGCGATGCAAGGAGGACGGTTCAACATACAAAAATCAATTAATGTTATATACTACATTTACAGAATGAAAAATAAAAATTACGTAATAATCTCAACAGGTGCTGAAAAGGCATTTGACAATATTCAACACCATTTTATGATAAAAACTGTCACCAAATTTAGAAATAAAAGGAATATACCTCGACATAATAAAGGCCATATATGTAAAGTCCACAGCTAACATCATACTCGATAGTGAAAAACTGAATGTTTTCCCCCTAAGATCAGAAATAATACAAGGATTCCATTCTTGCTATTTCTGTTCAAAACAAGAAGTCCTAGCTTGAATAATTAGACAAGAAAAAATAAAAGGCATCCATATCAGAACGTAAGAAGTAAAACTGTCCCTGTTTTCAGGTGATATGACCTTATATATATGTAACCCTAGAGACTCCACCAAAAAACTGTTAGAAGTAATAAATGAATTCAGTAAAGTTGCAGGATACAGAGTCAACAAATAAAATCTGTTACATATCTGTACACTAACAGTGAGCTATACGATAGATAAATTAGGAAAACAGTTACATTTACAATAGTATGAAAAAGAATAAAATACTTGGAAATAAACTTAAATAAGGATGTAAAAGACTTCTAGATTGAAAACTACAAAACCTTGGTGAAATAAAGAATACATAAATGAATGGCATTTTGTATTCATGTGTTGAAAGAATCTTGCTAAAATGTTCACAGATTCAATGCAATCAAAATCACAATGGCATTTTCTAAATAAATAGAAATAACAATTCTGAAATTCATATGGGAACACAAAAGATTGTGAATAGCCAAATCAATCTTGAGAAGGAAGAATATACCTGTAGGCATCACACTTTCTGATTTCAAAATACATTACAAAGCTACCATAATTAAAAGAGTATGGTATTAGCATAAAGACAGATGTATAGGCTAAATGAAACAGAATAGAGGGACCAGAAATAAATTCATGACCAGAAATAAATGGTCAATTGACCATTGACAAGGTTTCCAAGAATATATAACAGAGAAAGAAGATTCTCTTCAATAAATGGTGCTAGGAAAGCTGGATATCCACATGTGTAAGAATGAAATTGAACTCTTACACCAAGCACAAAAAGCAGATCCAAATGGATTAAAGACTTAAATTAAGTAAGACATGAAACTCTAAAAATCCTAGAAAGCAGCAAAGGAGGAAAACTTCTTGACGTTGATCTTTACAATGTTTTCTTGAATATGACACCAAAACTCCGGGTGACAAAAACAATTAGACTACATCAAACTGAAAGTCTAATGCAAAGCAAAATAAACAATCAACAAAGTTAAAAGTCATCCTACAGATTAGGAGAAAATATTTGCAAACCATATATATGACAAAGGTTTAATTTCCAAATATATAAGGAATTCCTTCAATTCCATAGCCAAAAAAACTCTCAGGTCTACTAAAAATAGGTTAAAAACTTGAATAGATAGTTTTCTAAAGAAGACATACAATTGGCAGTAAGTGTATATGACAATGTTCAATGTCAGTAATCATCAGGGTATTCCATGAGAGAGAAAGGTCTTGGGGGATGAGAGGTCACCTGAAGAGAAAGGCCACATAGAAAAGAATCAGTGCCCCAGCTGGCAGCCCACAACAAGGCCTTAGACATACTAGGACGCCATCTTGGACCATACAGCCCAGCCCAGCTCTCAGCTTAATGCACCCGCATGAATGAGCTCAGCCAATACTGTTTAGTGTGTAGATTAGCAATCCCCAGTGAGCCCTACCCAAATTCCTCACCCACAGAATTGGAACAGCAGATCATTATTCTATTATTATTTTTTGAAATGGAGTTTTGCACTTATTACCCAGGCTGTAGTGCAATGGTGCGATCTTGGCTTACCACAACCTCTGCCTCTTGGGTTCAAGAGATTCTCCTGCCTCAGCCTCCTGAGCAGCTGGGATTATAAGCATACGACACCATGCCTGGCTAATTTTGTATTTTTAGTAGAGATGGGGTTTCTCCATGTTGGTCAAGTTGGTCTCGACCACCGATCTCAGGTGATCCACCCGCCTCGGCCTCCCAAAGTGCTGGGATTACAGGCATGAGCCACCATGCCCAGCCCATTATTATTTTAAGTCACTAAATTTTGGGATGTTTCTCAAGCAGCAATACAGGATGGAACAAAACTCTTCTTAATTATTATATAATAGTCTAATAGTGTCCTGTTAGATCCTCTTGTTAATGATTGATCTAGAAATTTTTCATCAGTAGTCTTAAGTAATATTTGTTTATAATTGTGTATGTCTTTTTTAATCTTTGTCACGTTTTGCTATCATTGTTATTCTTTGGAAGTTTTCTTTTTTTTCTGTGTTCTAAAATAATTTCAGAAGTTCAGAATGATCTACTCTTTGAAGCTATGGTAGAATTCCCTCTTTTTAAATTTTTAATTATTATGAATACATACTAGCTGTACATAATTAATGGAGTATGTGTGATATTTTAAAACAAGCATACAATATGTAATGATCAAATCAGAGTAATTAGAGTATCTGTCACTCTAATAATGTGTCATTTCTTTCTGTTAGGAACATTCCAACTCCACCCTTTTATTTTGAAATATACAATAAATTATTAACTGTAGTTACCCTATTGTGCTACTGAACATCAGATCTTACTCCTCCTACCTAATCCTCTCTCTCTCTCTCTCTATATATATATATACATAAATATATAAAACCATTAACCCTCTTCTCTTTATCCCTCCCTCCCTCTTCACTCTTCACTACTCCTCCTGACTTCTAGTAGCCATCATTCTATTCTCCATCTCCATGAGTTCAATATTTATTCAGCTTCTGAATATGAATGAGAACATGTAGTATTTGTCTTTCTGGCCTGGCTTATTTAATTTAACATAATATCCTCCGGTTCCCTCCATGTTGTTGCAAATGACAGGATTTCATTCATTTTTATAGGTGAATAATATTACATTGTGTATATATACCACATTTCCTTTATTTGTTCATCTATTGATGGACATTTGGGTTGATTCCAAATTTTGGCTATTGTAACAGTGCTGTGATAAACATGGGAGTGCAATATTCCTTTGATATACTGATTTTCTTTCTTTTGGGTATATGCCCAACAGTGGGATTGATGAAACATACAGTGGTTTTGTTTTTGTTTTTTTGAGGAACCTCCATACTGTTCTCCGTAGTGGCTGTACTAATTTATATTTCTTCCAACAATCCACAAGTGTTCCCCTTTCTCCACATCCTCACCAACATTCATCATTACCTGTCTTTTGAATAGAAGCCATTTTACGTGGGATGAGATGATATCTCATTGTCATTTTAATTTGAATTTCTCTGATGAATAGTGATGTCGAACATTAATCATCAGTACCTTATGCTTCTTCTAAGGTAATTCTTTGTCAAATTTTTATTTTTCCCATGGCTGTTGACAAGATTGATATTCAGCCCAAATGCACATGTACGGCTACATTCTGTTTTGATTGTTGGAAGTCCTGCCTTAAAATCATCTAGAATATCAATCCTGAATATCAGTCTATTTAGATCTTTCTCTTTCTTAAGTCAATTTTTAAAAATTATATTTTCTTTGAATATTATTTATTTCATCCCATTTTTCAGAATTTATTTGGCCATAATTGAACAACGTAGTCCATTGTGGTCCTGTAATTATTTCTGTTTCTGTATTATTCTGCCCTTAACCAATTCTTATTTTGTGTATTTGAATTTTTTTCTTTTTATTCACCTTAGCTAGTTTAGCTAGATGCTAAATCTATTTTATGTGTTTTTTTTTTCAATGCACCAGCTTCTAGATTCTAACTCATATATTTTTGTGCTTATTTATATGAGTTTGTTACTTCTTTGGTCTATTTTGTGGTTCATTTTCTAATTTCTTGAAGAAGGTGCTAAATCATGTGGGAAAGTTTCTTCCTTGGCATTTGTCTAAATCATTATTTAAGTTCCAAAATCATATGAGTGTTGCTGCCAAAAGGCAAACTTTATTGCAGCTGTAATAATTGAGTGCAGCAAGCCTGGTGGGCAGGCTTTCCTTTGTGTACACAAATGGTCAACAGAAAAATGCTTGAGTTTTGAAATCGTTTTAAGCATTTTTTTTTCAAGAATTCTAAAATCAGTGAGGAAGACATATAGATTTGGGGTTAAGGATCACACAGGCTGGCTTTAGTAGTCTTGTGTGCAGAAATAAATATTGCAAAAATACTTTAGTGTATTTCATACATTTTTGTTAAATTGTAACACAATCAAGATACAATGAAAATGTCAGTTCTAAGTGGCCTGGGTATTGGAATGTAGAGTCTCCAGATGCATTCTGTGTATTCCGAAGGACAGACATGGAAGAATAATTTGTCTGGAGCCACAGAGAGGATATTGAAGTGTACTTTGGTTTTGTGTCATGGACAGTTGAAGAAAGGAATAGCAAAAAATAAACTGGAAAAATAGAAAAAAAATCAATGTTAACAAAAGCAGATTAAGAAAAAGCAAGGGAAAGTGTATACAGATGATGATAAAAAGCCAGATGGAGATCAATAGTGCCTGCTGGGACACAAGAGATGAAAGAGAGACAGAGAAAGAGAGAGAGAGAGAGAGAGAGTAGACATAGAGGAAATATGTGAAAAAATAGCAAATGGAGAAATAAGAGCAATAAGCAGAAATAAAGTTGAAAGATAACAAAAGGAAAGAGAAAAGATATGAGGGAAGAGACATACTGAGGATGAAAGGTACAAATAAAAGGATGTGCACAGGGTTAGGGAGAAGGGAAAGACAATATGCAAAGTTAGAGAAGAGTGAGACAAAAAAGGAGCAGGTGGGGTTAAGACCCAAAAAGTCCTGTAGGCTTTGAGGGATTAGTAAATTAAACTTCTCTTTCAGAGCCTGCAGTTCATTAAATAAATGGCAATCATACATCACTGGTCTTAGAAAAAATGCTATCTGCTTATCCAGTTTTTCACAGTTCATTGCAGACTCCAGCAATTAAATTTAGAATGTCTCCTCCCCAAATGAGAATGTTTCAGCAGCACAGCAAGCTGAGACTTCCTCTAGCAAGAGTTACCTCAGTGTTGTTTCATGGAGCAGCATTCCCACTGCACCATTCACATAGTCTATGTGAATGTGACTCCCTGCAGTTGTGCATACTGTCAGCTCCAGTTAGGGGCTAATCTCTGGGTAAAACAGAGGTGAGTGGAATGGAGCTACAGCTTGGTGACAACAAGGCAAGCCTAGATCAGGCCTGGCTAAACAGTATTTTCTGTCTTATTAGGAGTATGGATTATACCTGCTTTTTTATAAGTTGTGTAAAAGCAAATTTAAATCTAAGCTATGCATTGAAGAAATTTCTCTGGTTGACTAAACATTAACTTCAGGAAATTGTGTTTCATCCTTTTGCTTGATTCTCCGTCTAAAGAAAAGTTCCATAGCTAGCTCCTTTTGTTAGTTCTTCTCCTCCAGCTTCTAGGCTCCCAAATCGAATTAATAGAGTGAATCAACACCTGAGCATGCTGAAACCCCACAGGTCTAAATACAAAGACATAATTTAAATCATACAGTTCTTTTTCATCCCTGAAAGGTCTTTATTCATAGTACCACATCACCGATTCCTCATTTAGCGTGCCTATATATCTCCATTTTGTGTTTTCAACAAGTGGAAATGTGAAAGACGGCAAGAAGCCAACATATAAGGACTCCTATAGAAGGTGGGGCACATTTAAAAGGGCAGAGAACAGGAAAATTAAGACAATGTTTCTTTATTGTCTGGGAGGACTAGAGCATGCTTGTTTCAGTGTGAAAATCTGAAAATTTTCTAGAAAGGAGGAGATGAGAACTTCCTTGTTAATGAAGTATCTGCTACATCTTATGACCCATAATTTTTTCCAAAAAAAATTTCCTTGTGTTTTTAGCCTATAGATTATTTTTAAAAATAATTTTGTCTTTAATTTGTCTATGAACACATGTTTTGCTCTGAATGGCTTGCAGGTTTGACTTTTTTTCTTTATGTAATTTTTCAGAAGAAAATTGATCATTTTGCTTTTGTATGTTGAATGTTTTTTACTTTTCTTTAAGCTGGTGGAACATGTTGTTGGATGCATGCTCTTTTTGCCCCTCAGCATTTTTTTAAAAATATGAAAAAATCATTATGGTTCTTTATCATAAAAGTTGTAGACCAAAAAAATAGGTATGTAATAGTTCTACTTCAAAGCATAGTATTTCTCTTTTCTCTATTTGTCAGTAAAACGATCTCAAGTTTACCTTAAGGCTGAGAATTTAGAACTATGAAGATCAAATTTTAAAAACCCAATTCCCACATCTATACTTTGTTACTTCTGAGGTTTCTCATAAGTGTATTTTCTAAGCTTATGCCTCGAATCTCTAAAATCTTATAAACAACTAATTATTTGCATATGTATAAAGACTAGGAGAACATTAACAAAACTTTATTCATGCTTAGTTTGTTCAAAAAAAATTTTTTTTTTGGGCTGCGGGGGACAGAGTCTTCCTCTGTTGCCCAGGCTGAAGTGCAGTGGCGCGATCTCGGCTCACTGCAAGCTCCGCCTCCCAGGTTCACGCCGTTCTCCTGCGTCAGCCTCCTGAGTAGCTGGGACTACAGGTGCCTGCCACCACGCCCGGGTAATTTTTTGTGTTTTTAGTAGGGACTGGGTTTCACCGTGTTAGCCAGGATGGTCTCGACCTCCTGACCTCGTGATCCGCCCGCCCTGGCCTCCCAAAGTGCTGGGATTACAGGCGTGAGCCACCGTGCCCGGCCTCAAATTTTTATGTTAAAGAATATTCATCAAACTAGCACCTGGAAGAAAGCCCAGGTAGTGCTAGTAAGAATGAACTGAGAACATTTGTTGTCATTTAGGCAGAAGATTTTACACAGCTGACTTTACAGGAAGGGCATACCCAAGGCTAGTGCTCCTCCTCTGCAGCTTCCTTTATAAAAGGAGCTGGTGCCGTAGTAGTAGAAGCAGGAGTAGCTAACATTTACTGAATGGTGCAAAGATGGGAAAGGTAAGTGCTATAATGCCCCATGAAATAGGTTAAGAATAGGCTTTACTGGAGAGGCTTAGAAGTCAACCGTTAGCAGAAAGAAGTACATGGTTTACATTTTGAATTATCCCATTGATTAGGGGTGCTGGAGTTTGGGGAAGCATTTGGACATTCATTGGGTTTGTATTTCAAAGGGATAGTGCCTGACTGCTACTCTACCTTCTTATAAGAGTGTAAACTCCTTTTCAGTGGAGAAATGTTTTTGGCTCAGTTATCAAACCATCATGAATCAGTTAGGTATCATCTAAGGGACGGGATGATGGAAATGCCAGCTGCCCAGAACCTGGAGGCCTTAAGAGGTGCTCTTAATGGTTGTAAAGAAAGCATTGAATCATTGGGAAGTTGGGTTTAGGAGAAGAAACTCCACAAAGTGGGAGATTCTTAAGACCCTCAGTTCTAGGTAGCATTTTGCCAGACAATCCAAGATGATCAATTTTGTTTGCCACACCACATGAGTGCATTTTATAAGCAAGGCACTATGTGAAGTACTACCCTTAGATGGAGTTATGATTATTTCCTTCATTTATAGACATGGATATTGAGTTTTGATGAGGTTAATTAGTCCAAGGATTTGCAACCATAAGTTCAGAAATTTGAATTTAAACAAAGGCATTCTGACTCTTGTGTTCACTGTGCTGTTTTCTTCTCCCTCATATGAACTTTATCTGATACCTAAGCCTTGAGCAATTGTTTAAAAATATGTTCAAACAATTCTTTTTCAATTTCTGCCGTATGATTTTTAGAACTTGATTTTCATTAGTGAACTTATTTTTTCTAGGCCTTGAACCTCTCTACTTAATTTTAGGAAATTTATATCAAAGAAGAGTCACTTTCTAGTAAGTCTAGTAAGTACATATAGAGAGAGTTTAAATAGAAGAGGGCCCCCAAAATAGACTTGGCCTCTTAACTTAATATTGTCTGGGCTTGACCGTGCCCCTAGGATGCCTAAGTAAAATGTCTTAAACCAATCTGTCTTGTTCTGTTTCATGAAGGAAAAAAAATGTAAAAAGTCTGTGCCTCCTTCAGACTATGTGAAATATGCTTATTTTATAGGTTTTTTTTCTGATTGATTTAAAGTAAGTTACTTAACTTCTCTGAGCCTTAGGCTTCTGATCTTTAAAAATTAAAAAGCTATACATTGCTCTAAGCTTTGTCCTGAGGATATAGAAAAAGAAGGTAGATAAAGAGCCTGGACATGTCAGTTCCTTATCCTTTTGTTCCATAATTTACTAGATGTTCTAAAATATTTATTTTCTTTAGAATATAATATTTAATTCTTAGTAAGATTGTGATAAATAATAAGTGGAAGGTTTACATTTTTGTGCTTTTTTTTAAGCTATGAATTGCTGCTGGCAACTTTTCAAGAGAACATACGGGTTCATGATGATTTCCTTTTTGGTTATTTTATGTTTCCCTTCCTGCTTCTAGTTATTTAATTAAAAAGCAATTCATTTCTGGTTTTGACTATGCCAGACATGTATTTCGGGGGTATGGTGATAAGACATAGTATGAAAGAAAATGTTGATTGTCAGCATTGCTGGTCACAGTTGTTAGCTGCACAGAAATAAAGAACATTGAATGGTTCTTCAGAGATGGGCTTCTATTTATTGAGCCTTTGTGAAATAATTGAGTTTAAATAAATGGGTTGGATCATTGGCTTAGATCAGTTACTTAAAGTGTTAAAATGCCCAGAGATTGGGAGTGCAGATATTTTTGGCATACTGATTTTATTTCTTCTGAATATGTACTCAAAATATTAGGTTGGTGCAAACCTAATTGCAATTTTTGCAGTTTTTTTAAGTAATTGCAAAAACTGTAATTACTTTTGCACCAACCTAATACAATTGCCGTATCATATGGTAGTTCTATTTCTAATTTATTGAGGAACTTCCATACTATTTTTCATAGTAGACATACCAAGTTACATTTTCACCAATAATGTATAAGCATTCCCTTTTCTCCATATCCCCATCAACACTTATCTTTTGTATTTTGTCTTTTTTAATATGCATCTTGACAAGTATGAGTTAATACCTGTAGTTTTGATTTGCATTTCCCTGATGATTAGTGATGTTGTGAACATTTTCGTATACTTGTCTGTTGGCCATTTGTGTGATTTCCTTGGAAAAATGTCTATTCAGTTCCTTTGTTGACTTTTTACTTGGGTTACTTGGGTTTTTTCCCCTTTTTTGGTGTTCTTGTGTTTTGTTCTTGTTTGGTTTTATTTGATATTAAGTTGTATGAGTTTCTTACATATTTTAAATATTAACCACTTACTGAATATATGGTTTCCAGTTATTTTCTGCCATTCCATAGCTTATCTCTTCACTCTGTTGATTGTTTCCTTGACTTTGCAGAAGTTTTGTTTTTAGTTTAATTCCACTTGTTCATTTTTGCTTTTGTTGACATTGAAGTGCTATTGGAAGCTTAGAGGTTGAATCCAACTCTTAATGCCAGAACTATGCTTCGTACATCGGTTTGTAATATATAACTCAGTTTATCTGCAAACTTGCCTTGGAGATAAATCAATTTCTATCTATCTATCTGTTACATCTTCCCTCCTTTCCTGTCTTTCCATTGGTGAAACAGAACCTTGGTCTGAGCAGGAATTATGGGTGTCATCAATGGGGCAATAGCTTTAGCTTCCACTTTCACTGCCATAGCTTTATGCTTATATGACGAGTGTCTTTCTTTAATACAATCATCAACCCTAGGACTTCTCCATTCATAGTAACATGATGTGATAAAGAATCTTAAAAATAACACAGGTATTAAAATGATCTTGGTGAGATTTAAAAGTATTCTATATTTCAAATACAGATCAGTTAGAATTAAAATGACAGCACTTTGGGAAGATAAAAATAATACAACAGAAAACAAAAACAAGATCTACATGTTTTTGTTTTGTGTTTTGTTTTTTGTGTGCTCTTTGCTCTTTCAAAGAAAGGGGGATTGTTGAGCTTATGATGAAATATTTTTACAGTAGTTAATAAACATGCATTAACTGCTTAATTAGAATGTAAACTTCCTGAAGCGTTCGTATCCAGGGCAGATGTTTTCAGATTTCTGTCCGCCTGTCAGGGAAATTGATGTTTCCAAGTAACTCAGCCTTCTTATAGTGGTCTCTTGCTATGGATTTAAATGTAAGCAAGAAACAGACCTAATAGAGGTGATGTGTTCCTTCAGTAAGCATTAATTGAATACTTCTGTGTGAAGTCATTGTGGTAGGCTCTGGGAATATAAAGAAAAATAAACCATGCCCAACTGCATGATTGATTGGATTCTTGTCTAGAACTACTGCTCGTGACTCTAGCATGTTGGTTGTCCACCAAAAGTTATTTGGAACTTTGCACCCACATAGTTTACTTTTCCATAAGTTTATTTATTCAATAATTATTTATTGAATGCCTAATATAGGCCAGATACTATGAAAGCAAATGTCTCAGATATAGTACTTAATAAAAATTATACTTCTTCCACAATGGAGCTTTCAATAAAATATTGGAGATAGATGTTAATTAAAACCACACATATTCATGTAAAATTACACAAAAAATGTATTAAATCTCTGTAATGATGAGTATGATGGAGGAGAACTACATTGTGTTATGAATAGTGATGTGTCCTGAGGGAGAGGTACATGATGTATGAAGGCATGTACTGGTAGGGAGGGTTCAGGGAAGGGAGGCTATATGCCAAACAGAAGGGACAGAATGTGCAGGTTCCTATGGTGCAAGGGACCATGGAGCATTTAAGGAACTAAAAACCAGTGGTATGGCTGGCTCATGAAGACTACAGAGGGAGAGGTGACTAGGATTTTCCATTTTATCTTAGGAACCGCAATAAGCATTAAATGTGTTTTATGTGGTAGAGTGAGGAGTGGAAGGTAATGAGTATGTGTTTGTGTTTGAGGTTGTGACATAATCAGAGACGTGAAGTACTATAGCTAAGTGACTTTGGTAAGTTAACTTCTCTAAACCTAAATGTCTTCATATGGAAAGTGATGTAATGATAACACCTTCGTTTTAGGTTGCTTATGAGAAATTAGGTAGTCAAGTAAATGTGTTTATTACAGTACCTGGCACTGTAAGCACAAAAAGTTTATTATTATTACATAAATGAATATAGTATAAAATAATCTATAAATATTCCAATATATTAATGTAGTATTATAAGTTGGTATAATAATTATTACTTAATATCATTTTTCTTTTTCTTTTTTTTTTAAATTATACTTTAAGTTCTGGGGTACATGCACAGAGCGTGCAGGTTTGTTACATAGGTATACATGTGCCATGGTGGTTTGCTGTACCCATCAACCCATCATCTACATTAGGTATTTCTCCTAATGCTATCCCTCTCCTTACTCCCCACCCCCACCAGGCCCTGGTGTGTGGTGTTCCCCTCCCTGTGCCCATGTACTCTCATTGTTCAACTCCCACTTACGAGTGAGAACATGCAGTATTTGGTTTTCTGTTCCTTTGTTAGTTTGCTGAGAATGATGGTTTCCAGCTTCATCCATGTCTCTGCAAAGGACATGAACTCATTCCCTTTTGTGGCGGCATAGTAGTCCATGGTGTATATGTGCCAAATTTTCTTTACCTAGTCTGTCATTGATGGGCATTTGGGTTGTCTCCAAGTCTTTGCTATTGTGAATAGTGCTGCAATAAACATACACGTGCATGTGTCTTTATAGTAGAATGATTTATAATCCTTTGCGTATATACCCAGTAATGAGATTGCTGGGTCAAATGGTATTTCTGATTCTAGATCCTTGAGGAATCTCCACACTGTCTTCTACAATGGTTGAACTAATTTACACTCTCACCAACAGTGTAAAAGTGTTCCTATTTTTCCACCTCCTCTCCAGCACCTGTTGTTTCCTGACTTTTTAATGATCGCCATTCTAACTGGCATGAGATGGTATATTATTGTGATTTTGATTTGCATTTCTCTGTGACCAGTGATGATGAGTTTTTTTTCATATGTTTGCTGGCCACATAAATGTCTTCTTTTGAGAAGTGTCTGTTCATATCCTTTTCCCACCTTTTGATAGGGTTGTTTGGTGTTTTCTTGTAAATTTGTTTTGTTATTGCCATTGTTGGCTTTGTTAGTTAGGGAGAACATGAAATATGCCATTCAATATAGCCTGCACTAGATTAGTGGCAATAGAAATGGAAAGGAGATGAATAAACTGCATAATACTTAGAATAAAGAGCAATAGCATTTGGTGATCATTACATATGAAAGGGTGACAGGAAGGAGATGAAAATACCAAAGGTGCTTCTTTTTTTTCCAGGCTGAGCAACTGGTTGAATAGTTGTGTCATTCACTAAGACAAAGAATGATGGAAGAGGACAAGGCAGAGTTGGGGGTAGGAAAAGATTGTGGGTTTGGCTTTGGACATGTTGAATTTGTGGTACTGCTTTTGAGTTCTTTCAGTGGAGATATTAAGTAGGCAGTGAGTTTCAAAATTTTGTAGTTCAGGAAAGAAGCCTGGGCTGTGAGTCATTTGAATAAATGTGACGATTAAAGTCATGGGCACAAGCAACATTTCCTTGGGAAGGAGCACAGTAACATGAGAAACAGGCCTCTGGTAGAATTTTGAGGAATGTCACCATTCAATATATGGAAAAAGGAGAAGGACATAAAAGCAAAAAACAAACCAAGCCTTAGGAACAGCCAGAGAGTTAGAAGAAAATAAAAGAGGATTTATAAAAACTTAAGAAAAATTTATAAAAGATTGTGATAACCTTAAAATATGATATAGTAATGCTTTAAATATTTTAAGTGTATGGAGATGTTGATTTCAAGGACAGATAAAGGCTTTCCTAAAATCTACCCATTCAGATAGTGATAGAATCTTCATTTTTCATTATCCCTGAGCATACATTGTGTTCACTGAATGTAGGTGACAACAGGAGTCATTCCCATATGTGTGTACGATATTTCTAAAGAACTTATAGTAGAAACCTAATAAAACATTTTTGTAAATTGTTTTATTAAATGCATTACATGGGAAGGGCGGTAATATTGTATACCATATATAATGTATATTTATGTATATACAACAGAAATGAATTTATATTCTCTAATAAAACATTTACACATATCAAAATACCAAGAAATCGTGAAGGCAGATTATTACTTAGAAGCAAAATTTAATGGCTTTTCTGATTAATTGACAGGTTTACAGCTGTTTGTAAAATTTTACTAGTCTATCAGACTTTGTTTTGGAGATATGGTCTTGCTCTATTGCCCAGGCTGGAGTGCAGTGGCACAAACATAACTCAGCAGACTCAAACTCCTGGGCCCATGAGATCCTCCTGCCTCTCAGCCTCCTGAGTAGCTAGGAGTACAGGCACACACCACCACACCTAGCTAATTTTTTTATTTTTATTTTTGTACAGACAAAGTGTTGCTGTGTTGCCCTGGCTGATCTCAAACTCCTGGCCTCAACTGGTCCTCCCACCTCAGCCTCCCAAAGTCTTGGATTACAGGCATGAACTACCATGACCAGCCAAAAAAATTTTTTTAAATAAGATTTATGAATTATTTTTGCATATATATGTGTGTGTATACATATATATGCAAAATATATATAATTATATATACATATATACACATATATGTGTGTGTATATATAATTGTATATATATACATATATATATACATATATACACATATATAATTTTATATATATACATATATACACATATATGTGTGTGTGTATATATATAATTATATATATACATATATATAATTTTATATATATACATATATACACATATATATGTGTGTGTGTATATATATATATAATTATATATATATATAATTAGCAGTGGCATTGTGTATTTCCTCAATCAGTTTATCCAATAAACAAAGCATATATGCATATTTAGGGGATTACTCTCTTTCCATAGCACGTTTAGTCCTAGTACTTCCTTTTCATTCGTGAAAGGGAAACAGCACAAACAGCTTGACCAGAAACTTTACATGAAAATGTTCATGTCAAGGGCTACAATGAAATCAGAAGTGTTAGAACAGACTCAAAAGATCCTCTAAGCAGGCTTGAGGCACTCTGCAATATGGACTCCATGAGGAATACTAATGACCAGAAGGAGGGCATGAGGAAGGTACTAGTCAGGAGAAGTGGAGACACCATGACTGTCTAAAAATTGTGTGACATTTATGTTCAAGAATATCTTTATTACCCCTCAAGATATATATGTGTGTGTATGTATATATATAATATGTATTTTATATATATATAAAATTTTGTTTTTATTTCATTTCCTACCTCGTTTTTTAAAGGGTACATCTACATCCAACACTAATCATGCTTTCTATCTTTAATAAATTGTCATATCCATTTATCATTCTGAACAGCTTCCACTTTCAATGCCAACTCTGTCAGTGCAATATATGATCAGTAATTGCTAAGCATCCATCATATCTGAAGTGATATGTCACTAAATTCTTGGCTGTTCACAATAGTTCACTAACCTGAGTCTTGTTGAGCCAGAACTAATGTCAAGTGATCCCCTTGGGGTTTTTTTTCCTTCATGAAACTATTTGCTTAAAGAAAAATGCCTATCTTAAGCGTGGAAATTTTACTAAACCATTTATGTAAGCAAGCCAACATTGTCACAGAGAATTCTGAACACAGTTGGCTGACAAGTCAACCACCTATTAGCATACAGATATCAAGCAAAGAGAGCTTGTGATAAGTAAATCATAGAAAAAAAGTCACATATAGTAATTTTTCTTTGCCTCTTTTCTTGCTGGATTAGAAATGGCATTGCATGCCATGCAGGCAGCAATGATTTTCCAGGTCTCTCTCTAAAGGCTGTGCATTTAAAAAAAATAGAAATCTGACATACTCATCCTCACAAGTTCTCAAATGCCTGAGGGTCTTATTCCAATAATGCTCACTATCTGTCTATAAATTAAATACAGAAAGAAGAACAATACATGGCAAATCTACTTGGCACTCGGACAACTTCCATGATGGAACTATTTCTGGCTGGGAGAGTCAAGCCTGTTAACAGTCAGCAAGGTGATATGGCCCATGGGCTTAGGAGGGGCAATTAACTCCACTCTGAGAACCTGAGAACCTGAGTCACCAATTCTGTGTTCATATTCTGCATATTTGCTTCTGAGGCATTTTAGCCAAGTATGAGTTGGATTAACCCAGGGTAAACTTTCCAGATTTATTATCAGCCTAACGGTATATTGCAGTAGTGGTGGTGAAGATGGTGGAGGTAGAGTAGTTGTGGAAGTGGCAGCAGCAATCATCATCACATTCCCAGTCATCATGTAGCACTTGCTGTCACACAGAATTCTGCATAGAGATGGCCAAAGAATCAACCACACGTTATGCATACTGTTATGAAGCAAGGAGAGGTTGTGACAAGTGCATGCATATCAAAAGAATTAAAAAGTCACACAAAATAATTCACAACCTCTCTTTCCCCTTCCCCTATATTGTTCAGTTTCAGATACTACTCTATTAATAATCCCAATGTTGTGAAAATAGTGAAAAATCTCTAAATTCTGCGTGCTAGAAATCCATCACTATTAAACATGAGCCAAGATAGACCCAGTGAGTAGTAGTACTGTAAATTCTTACACCCCTGGCTCAGTAAGCAGTAACTTTAGCCTTGTATTTCAAAGTTTTAGTACCACTTGGTCAAATATGTTCAGGAGTATGATAAAGTTATAGGCCCAAGAGAGTGGTAATTTGGCTGGAAGACAGAAAAAAAGAAAAATATAATTGCTTTTTTTTGGAGAATATATAGACAGAACACTACATATTTAGGAAATAATATACTTAAATAAATGAAAGTACTAAAAGAGTTTTCAATAAGGAACTTTATCTCCTTCCCACAGTCAGAGATGCATCTAATCCAACCCTGACTCAATGGGTTTCCAATTATCAGAAATGGAAATGATTCAGTGTTTATATGCTCTGTTGCTGAACAAGCCTCACTGTCACAAAGTGATTCCTTATATTTCACCTGTAATTGTAGCTATATGTTACAGCATGAATGAGAATTGGAAAAGAGGGTAGTTATTTTGATTGATGTAGACAGCCAAAGTGGGTAATTGAGACCCCTGAAACTTCCTTTAGGATTTGAATGATCCTATTTGGCTGTCTTGGGGAGTCACAACAGTGGGATAATTACCATATTTTTACTCCAGTGTGTGGACAACTACTTCTAATACTGTTTTCTCAGTCCATTTGCATTTAGATTCTATTGGGGAGTAAAATGGTGAAGGGTGAAATTAACCATAAAATATATTAATCTGTTTGAACTCAAGTAGATTTTAAAAATACTAGATTTAACCATCTGAGGAAAACAGACTTGCCTCCAAAACAAACAAAACAAACAAAAACAACCCCCTAAAACAAAACACACAAAGCCAACAAAAATAACAAAAATTTAAGGTTGGTGGAAAAAAATAGGTCAGTTTAACATCCACTTTTATCCGTAAGGTATGCTAGACAGTTAACTTCTAGTCTTTTGTGTAACTGGTACCACAGAACATTACTGTGGTTATCACAGTCTTGGAAGAAAACTTAGAGAGTTATGGATGGTGAAACTAGCTCAGAGCAATAGACACCCTCTATATTTTAGTGAAAAGAAAATTCAAAGAATTAGATATGCGAGTCTGATTTGGGCCACACCTGTGGACAGCACTGTTGAACTGACCAGGTTCCTTCACTTTTCATACTTCCTTCTCCTCCCCTTGACAAAATTCTGAGTAGACATTTGAATAAAATAACAAAAAAGAAAGGAAATAAAGAAGCATGGTTTCGTTTTGTATAATTATGTGAGTATAGGAATGCCTATTTAGGACAGGGCACAGTGGCTCACGCCTGTAATCCCAACACTTTGGGAGGCTGAGAAGGGCAGATCACTTGAGGACAGGAGTTCCAGACCAGCCTGGCCAACATGGTGAAGCCCCATCTCTACCAAAAAATACACAAAAAAAATTAGGGCGTGGTTGTGCACTTCTGTAGTTCCAGCTGCTCGGGAGGCTGAGGCATGAGAATTGCTTGAACCCAGGTGGTGGAGGTTGCAGTGAGCTGAGATCATGCCACTGCATTTCAGCCTGGGTGACATATCAAGACTCTGTTTCAAAAAGAAAAAAGGAAAAGAAAAGAAAAACAATGTGTATTTCGGACATGTTGGGTACTTTAGAACGATTTTTCTTCCTACTATGGTCAGTGCAAACAATTCAGGTAGCAGATGGTGTTGCTTTTTCTCCTCTGCTCCCCTAACCATCATGATCACCACAAGGACTTGTTCTTAGGCTAAAAGCTGGGGAGTTCACTTCCACCTATGATGGGTCCAAACACATACAGTAGTAGAGAAGGGAGCTATCACCAGTTAAAGAGTCATTCCCACGGAAGAGCCATAGGAGCCCTTTGGTCCAGTGTCCTTCTTGTATTTGTATTTGAGGAATTAAGATTTCACAAGTTTAACTGACTTGTCCTAAGTTCACTCAGGAGTTAGGGAGCTGGGAATCAGAGTTAGTATAAGAACTCAAGATGTCTTCTCTTCCAGTTTGGTTATGGAAAACTCCCATAATTTTCAAAGAGATGTAGCAACACTCTAATGGTTAAAAGCGACACTCCTGGGAGGAAAGAAGGTATACATGAATAAGAATTAACTTCATTGTTAATTTTTTTGAGGAAAAATAGTTTCTTGTATGAAAATAAGTGCCCTGTCATATTTATGTGACAATGTGATGGCTAATTTTATGTGTCAACTTGCCTGGGCATTAGGGCATACAAGTATTTGGTCAAACATTACTATGGGTGTGTCTGTGAGAGTGCTGTTAGATGAGATCAACATTTGAATTAGTAGACTGAGTAAAGCAAGTTGCCCTTCCTAATTTGGGTGGCCCTTGTCCAATCAGTTGAAGGTCTGAATAGAACAAAAAGGCTAACCCTTCTGTGAGTAAAGCAGAACTCCTCTGCCTGACTGGGTAAGCTGGGACATCAGTCTTTTCTTGTCTTCAGACTCGAATTGAAACAGACTCTTGGGTCTTCAGCCTGTGAGCTTTCAGACTGGAACTATACATTGGCAATCCTGGGTCTCTAGCTTGCCAACTGCAGATCTTGGGAATTATCAGCAGCCTCTACAATCACATGAGTCAATTCCTCTCTCTATGTATATACATGTTTGTTTACACCTACTCATATCCTGTTGGTTTTGTTTCTTTGGGGAATTCTGAATAATAAAGGCAATTTTTGTATTATTTTCAATTCTGCAGCTTTGCTGTCTTCTATTCCCGTATCAGCATCTCTCTTTGAAAGCACGATATTTAAAATTTACAAGAAAACCACTTTCCTCTGCTCAAGTAGCTATATTAAAATATGTCCTCTATATTTATGTTTTTCCTGATTGGTGTTCCACAGCTCTACATCTCAAAGCAGAGTTTTAATAGAGGATTGTGAAATGCTCATATTTAAGATGAAAACTAGTAAAAAATCTGCAGTAATTAATTAAAAGTATACTGTCTAAAGTGATTATTATATTTAAAATAGAGAAATAACTATGTTCATTTATAGCTGTACACATAAATCCTGTGCCATGCTTACAAATTAGCTGATTGATTCAGGCTCATAAACTGCCAAGATAGTCCAAGGAATACATTGTCTGATTTTGAACAACACACAAAGGGAAGAAAGAAAAAAGAGACATATGCAAATAACCAATTATTCCATGTCCTTATAGAATTTTAAGGGTCAGATCCTTGGGGACAGAAAAGTCAAGGCATCATTGTCCTCTAAAAAAGTCACACAGCTCCATTTTATGCACAGTCATTTCATAACCACTCAAATTAGTGTTTTTAAAGCAGAAGGTAAGGTGAAGGAGAAACATTTACTACAAATTCAGCAAATGTTTAAGACTTGCTGTGTATAACAGGGATAGTAATGGGCTTATGGAAAACAAAGATCTTGTTTAAATTAATCCCATGGAATTTCAACCTAGGCAAACCTGAGTAGAGGAGGCTCTGGATGCACATCGCTGCAGCATCTGGATGAAAAGTGGAATCAATCATTCCTTAATCCAGTTAGTGAGGTTCATAATGATAAACATTTTACGTTGGTCTCTGGTGGTCCCTCAGCACCCTGATCTTCCCTTCGGTACTATACTCAGGTATGCAACTATCTACATTTGTTTTAATTTAAGTGGATTTATAAATATTTCAAATTTAACATATCTGAAATTGAACTCATCTCCCTTCCTCTCACCCAAACCTGCCCACCTCATTATTTTCTCAGTAAATTGAAAATTCATTCTTGGATTAACTCAGATATTAAAATCATCTTTGACTCTATATCACCTATATTACACATTCAATCTGTCAGACAATCATGTAGTTGTTACTTTCCAAATATTTCTAAAATCAGGTCACTTTTCACTACTTCCACTGTTTTCACATGATTTGAAAAAGAAGAAAACAAATTGACATTGGAGACAAGACAGTCTAGCTGTCAGAGTGGCTTCTGTTAAGCTTTGGGATCATAGTAAAAATAATAAGCTAAACATAACTGAAATCTCTTCTGTAGGCTAGGCACCATGCTAACTAGAGATATGGTGACAAACAAGAAAAATATGCTCCCCAACTTTACATAGCTTATAACCTAAAAAAGGTAACAGATAAATCAATAAGCAACCGAAGTAATTACAGATTGTTTTAAGTCCCATGATTGAAATTAACCAGATGATAATAATGAAAGTAATTGAAGAATTCTACTTCAGATAGCCAGGAAAGATCTCTTTGAGGAAAGGATTTTTAAGTGGAGGCCTGCTGGAAGAGAATGAACTTGCTTTGTGAAAAAGAGTGTAGACATACGGTACAGGCAGAGGGAACAGTGAGTACAATGCCCAAATGAAGGAAGGGGCTCACTTGCCATGTGCAGTTCTAAAAACGTGGGCAATGTGGCTACCGGGTAGTGAGTGAGGGGAAAGTGGAAGGAGGTGAGGTTCGCATATTGAAGCCAGACCATGTAGGGCTCATACATCCAAATGAGGAGTTCCAGTTATATTCTAAGTGCAAAGGGAAGTCACTGGAGGGTTTTAACCAGGAGGAGTGACAAGAGCCAATTTGCCTATTAAAGAGAAAGGATCATGGTCTAAAGGTGAAGGCTGAGCTAAACTGATGTTTCTTTTATTCCTTTTATTTCCCCTTCAAGATTTAAAACTGGTCTTGAAAATGACCTAGGTTTATACTAATTATTGAAAATTCCTTTGCTAAAACTTGTCCTTCTACTCAGTGACTGAAAAATTTGTCCTTCCCACTCGGTGACTGAAATTTCAGTTTGCATCTTTAGCCCTGTGATTTGTCAGCCCTGGTTTCAGTCCCTGGAACTGCAGAAATTCCCTGGCAAACCATTACTAGCCTCATGAGGACAACACTTGACCAATGCATTTGATGGGATTGGAATCATAAGACTTGAGGAACATTTATGAAATGACATCCATATTTTTAAATTACAACATTCCTAAAAGATCAGACTCTTGAAGTTTCCCTTTAATAATCACACACATACTCTATGGAGGAGTTTATAACAAACAAAACAAAACCAAAAACAGACAGAAACACTTAGAAAAAAGATATTTGCTATCCCCAAAATAACAATATTTCTGTGATAATCATCTCTTTTCCTTATTATCACAAAATTTCTAGTAACAAACAATTCAATATAATTATATTAAAAACTCGGCAAAACTAAGCAACATTTCACTTCCCTACAAGATTAGACCTAAGTGAATTAGGTAATCATGGGAGAGCTCTTTCCCACTTCTGATGGTGCTTGTTTTCCACAAACCACCTCTTTTACACTTTGATAGCTTCAACCAGTGATTTTTGAGGTATTTGTTTAAAATGTCTTAGGGGTTATTTCCATAGTGAACATTTTGTGGAGATCTCTTGAAGGCCCAAAAGCTATTAACCCAACAGAATAAATGTGAATGGGAAAATTCCAGGAATATAGCCAGTTAATGTGGGGTTATTTGGGACCTGCGAGTTATTTCTCCTTTTCTTAAATTCTACCAACCTATGAGAACCTTTAAAATGGTCACCTATGCTGCATTCATCTTAAGGCTACACTTGAGTGCAATAAATTTGTCTCCTGAAAAGTTATCCTGTAACTTTGTAATGTAGGCACTCAAAAGTTTTTATTCTTTATTATACTTAAAATGACAACTTAATTTCTTCTTAAGGGTTATATAACATTATAAGGATAAAATATAATTATTATAATAAGACTAATTAGTATTTACATTCTACTTTTCTCTTACAATTCCTTTATAAACAGAAGTTAATTAATAGCTTAGATGCCAATATTATCTCTTCAAAGAGGTTAATGCATCAGATTAGAATTTGTTTTTAGCCCAAGTGCTTCTTCAGCATTTGTATTTGGTGCAGCTTAGTACCAGGGAAGGCAGTTATTTTTCTTTTCTGTTGTTCTATAAGAAAGTAAAAAGTGTTTGGACCACTTGTTACACCCATTTTTGCTTGCTGGAGCCATGGAAACAATGGGAAGAATGTCACTTTCTTTGGGGAAAACATTTTAGTGGAGTGTCATGAATAAATTTATTCTAGAAATAAAATGCACATTCCTTAAAAAAAGTGAAGAAGATTTTGCAAACAAACCACATCATTTTGTATCTTGCATTTTGACCAGTTCATAAAGGTATAGAAAGGTGGTCAAAGCTTTTTGCATAGTGGAAGAACTATTTATATATCTAGATGAAAACCTAAAGCTTTACATTTTCACAACACAAATTTTCTTGTCATTTCAGCTCTGTAAGTGGCTGTTCCAGACCCATGATGATGTAACAAGTCTGCTATACTGAATTGTAAACGTAGATTTTAACCTAGCCTAACCCTTAGACCTTGAAAATATTTATTGTGAAAATTTGCTGTCATTATTCCATAGTTATTGCTTTTTTCCCTTATATTATTGTCTTTTATTTATTTTTCCTTCCATTTAGTTTGGATATACTTTGTTTCCTTTTCTAGCTTTTTAAGGTGGAAACTTAGATCATTGAATTAAAAACTTATTCATTTCCTCATATACATCTTCACTGCTATAAATTTCCCTCTAAACTCTGCTTTGAGATGTTGTATTTTTATCATAACTCAGTAAAATATTTAATTTTCTTTGTAGTTTCTTATTTGACTCATGGTCATTGAAAAGTATGTTTTAACTTTCCAAATATTTGGACATTTTAAGCTGTCATTTTATTCACATCAAATTTAATTCCATTCTTATTAGAGGTTATACTTTGTAAAATTTCAATTAAAAATTAAACTTTTTCAGTTTTTCTTTCTTTCTTTTTTTTTTTTTTTTTTTGAGACAGAGTCTTGCTCTGTCACCCAGGCTAGAGTGCAGTGGCGCAGTCTCGGCTCACTGCAACCTCCACCTGTGTTCAAATGATTCTTCTGCCTCAGCCTCCCAAGTAGCTGAGATTACAGGCACCCGCCACCACACCTGGCTAATTTTTGTATTTTTACTAGAGACAGGGTTTCACTAAGTCGGCCAGGCTGGTCTTGAACTCCTGACCTTAGGTGTCCCACCCGCCTCAGCCTCCCAAAGTGCTGGGATTACAGGCGTGAGCCACCGCGCCTGGCCAATAATTAAACCTTTAAAATGTTCTAGCATTTGGCCTATATTAGTAAATGCTCTAGGTACACTTTGCAAAGGCTATGCATTCTGCAGTTTTGTGTGTTGTTCTATATGTCAAATTAGGACAAAGTAGTTGATAGTATAATTAAATATTCTCTATATTGACTATATTTTAAAATTTTATCGATTAAAGAGGATTATACAAATGTTGAACTATAGTTGTAGATTTGACTATCACCTTTTTGTTCTGTCAAACACTTGAAATACATCTTTTTAATTCTGGTAATATCCCTTGTCTGAAACTCTACTTGGTCTGATATTAATATTTCCATACTAATTTTTAATGCTTATCTTTATATATATATATATGTGTGTGTGTGGGGGGGGGTGTATACATATATTTTTCCCCTCTCTTTTCCTTTCACCTTATCTATGTCTTTTAATTTAAAATGTATCTCTTGGCCAGGCGTGATGGCTCATGCCTGTAATCCTGGCACTTTGGAAGGCTGAGGCAAGAGGATCACTTGAGCCTAGGAGTTCTAGACCAGCCTGGCAACATAGCAAGAACCTGTCTCTACAAATAAAATTTTTAAAAGATTAGCCAGGCATGGTTGCATGTGCCTGTAGTCCCTGCTACTCGTGAGGTTCAGGTGTGAGGATCAGGCCTCTGCACTCAGCCGGGGTGTCAGAATGAGACTCTATCTCAAAGAAAACAAAAAGTACATCTTGTAGACAACAGGCTTTATTAAAAGTCTAGTTTGGCATTCTGTTTTAATTGGAATCCTTAATGTAAAATTTACTATGATTGAGCTTATATAAATTTTTCTGCTTTTTTCCTATGTGTTGCATCTCTTCATCCCCTGCTCTTTCTCCTTTTCTATCTTATTTTGCATTAATGAAATGTTTTGCTATTCCATTTTATTTTCTTTATTGCCCCCCTTTTTGGTCATACCTCTATTTTATTTTATATTTAGCAGTTGTTTAAGGTATTACTGTAAGCATCCTCAAGATATCAAAGCCTCCTTATTATTGTATCATATCATATGTAAGAACATTGTAGAGACTTTGGATTCCAGTAACTCCGTGAAGAGTTATGACTTTAGTTATAGCTAGCAATTTAATTTTTGGCTGATCTTGAACTTACAGAGCTTTTATTTTCACTTCATTAGGAGGGTCTTTTTAGTTTAGCTTTTAGTCTTAGGAAAAATCCCTTAGTTATAGAAAGTCCTGCTTTCTGGGACTTGCTCTGTTAATTTCCATCTGCTCTAGAAAACACAAACTTCTCTGACACCTAAAGCAATACACTTGTAAGTTTCCCCTTGAGTATTAGCCATTCTGCATATGGGAAGACTTTAGTGTTCCCTTAAGTGAAGTCACATAAATGTTTATGTTATCACCCAGTTGCATTCCCTTTCTTTCAAGAATTCAATCCCCTTCAATTTCTGCCTACTTTTGGTTGCTCTCCAGTGCATTAAATAGTTAACTTTTATATTTTATCCAGAGTTTATCACCTCTGGAAGGGTAATTCAAATTAAGCTACTTTCATTCTTGGTACTAGAATTGGGAAAATGATTATTTTTAATGTTAAGGCTCCCATGTGAAAATAGCTGAGGAAGATTCTGATCCAGATAGGGCTTAGCAAGTCATGTAGTCTAAATATGCACAGCCTCTGTTCAGTGAGATGATTAGTTTGTTTTTGTTTTTATTTTGATCAATTCCATCCTCAGTTTCTTTATTCTTATTTTGAATTAAATGAGGCAGCTACAGGGAATAGTTTATTGACTAAAGTAGACATTGTAATTTTCTTCTTGAACTTCTTGAACTTTAATACAAAGTTCATTTTATAATATTAGGGAGTATAAATGCTTCCAGATTTGGGATACTTTATTTTACATATACATTACATGATTTCCCATGCTTATTTGAAGAGTCTTTAACTTAGGTTTGATAAAATAAATGCATTTAAACTGTTATGAGGCATTAAAAGTATTAACTGTCTTCATTTATTTTCTATCTTCTGTTATAATTCCCTCCACTTTGTCTTGTACGACCCATATCCAAGGGCTGCATATTCAAATTAATACTTGAGTGACATAGAATTAGATTCTTTAGAGTCCAAAAGATGAAGTAAAATATTTTTTCTCTAAAATTGGGAGTATCAGATGGCCTCATCCAATCACTTAAATTTGTTCTCATTCCCTTCACTTTATCTTATATGACCCATATCCAAGGGTTACATATTCAAATTAATACCTGGAGGCATAGAAAAATACCATAAGTGTGTAAAGCAGGCCAGGTGGGGGAAACATCAGAAAGTTCTACGTATTGAGGTACACTGGAGAAAGCATGGAGTATATCAAGGGTCAACCTCACTAGCTTTTGCCATTTAGGTGCTATGAGCCATTGTTGTCAGATCTGCTCTTCCAAGAGAAGCTGAAAATATGGATTTTTGTGTGAAATTTCCTTATTAAAATATCCTTCAGGTCAAATAGAACATGTTTGATTGGTATACAAAGCCCCTGTCTTTATTTGTTTGTTTGTTTCCATCACTGGTTAGTCTTCCATTTGTATATTCTCTCTTATTCACTTTGAATGCTCTTTTATGCAAGTCTACCCAAATCCTGTTATCTGTATTCAATTCAAGTTCCATGTCTCCACAAAGCTGGTGAGTCTTCTAGTCCTCATTGTTCATCTTTGCCTTCTGTGAAATCTATAATAATTATAGATTAGAAAACATTTTATCATGTAATTTTATTGCCCTTTTATACTGAGGTGTGCTTCAGTTCCCAACATCTTTTCTTTATTTCTGCCATAGGTTTTCAATACTCATTTATTAATGTATGGTTGGTATTGCTCATAAGGTTTTTTTAAAGTGTCAGGGAACGTGAAAGTATGGAACGTTTATTGATTTGGAGGAGACCATAGATATATCTGATCCAAATTCCTTATCTGACAGATAAGGAAACTAAGACCCACTAAGTCAATTGATTTACTATTGATCAGTCAGAAAGTAAATCACCAGATCCTAGGAATTTAATTCCTTTTTCTGTTTGTTTCCACCAAATACAGCACTCTGTAGATTTAAGAAAAAGTACTTTTTCATTCAATACCAAAATATGGATTTATTTTGTTTCTTCCTCTGTGTTCTCTCTTCTTAGTGTAGCTGAGTGACATAGAATTATATTCTTTAGGATCAAACAGATAAAGTAAAATATTTTTTTCTCAAAAATTGGCAGTATCAGATGGCCTCATCCAACTACCTAAATTTGGTAAAGGGAAAGATTTATAAATCAGCCTAACTCTGTTGTTTCCAAGATTTTGATTTTATGGTATCTGTTTCTCCTTATGAGCCTTGCGGACAAAGAGGTATCCTGGTTATGAAAGAACCGCATGTGTCCTCTCATCTGAGACATCTGTTCTCTCTTCTCTCATAAATTCTTAAACAGAATGAAATTTTATTAAGAAAATTATAGCATTGCTATAATTGGCATATATTCCACATTTGTCTGCATTTACCTTTTGAATGTAGTCATTATACCACACGATGGCATCCTAAAACAATTTCTATAAATGCAACATTGAAATAAAAATGTAAGACATTACAGATATGAAAATTACGTTATTCTAATTTCAAAATCTAGATGAGTAATAGTGTTCATGAGCTTCATTACATTAAAATTTTGCAGCTTCTATGCAAGGAGCTTGATATGAAAAAGTAACACTTGTTTTTATGAAATAAAACTGCATTAACGATCATTTTAAGTTATTAAAGAGCTTAGATATTGTACAAGTAAATTCAGTATACCTAACTTTCAGCACATGTACAACGAAAATCTTCTTGAAATAACCTACAAAATAAAACTATCACAATAATTGTAAAATTCATTAACAAAACCTCTACATTTTCAATAATTTGTGAGTGAAAATTTTTATTATAATTTTGTGATTTGAATGCAATTTTCCCAAGAAATTACAGGATTGAATTATAAATAACTATATCTAACTTGAAAAATAATGCAAAAAGTAATAATAATAATGCCTCTGTGCATGAAATGCTTATTTTGTTTTATTATTTCTTTGTCAGTATGAATGGTTCTTCTTTACTAGCAAAGCAAGTGAACATTTCTTTTTTATTTAATGAATATTTGTATTATTCAATTGATATTTAATAATAGAATTATCATTATTAAAAAAAAACCAGAAGATCACTTTCATTTTAGTTCTAGTAACTATAAAGTTTACAAATGTGACATTAAGTTAATGACATTCATTTTGTTTATTTTCATAGTATCTCAGCAATGTCTGTGTTTATTTCCTGGAGTCAAAGAAAATATTTTATTCAATTTTGGTTTGTATTTATTGTTATACTAATATGTGTTCTGACCTCGTCTAGTTTTTTTGGACTAGAGAATCATAATTTTTATATCTGTAAAGCCTTATGTTTTCATTTCAACATTCCCATAGTACAAAATAGGACATTTGGGGTAAATATAATATTTCATTTAATCAAGATGTATGTTTTCATTTTGTTCTTTCAACCAAGACAGATCGTCTCTGAAACATTATTTTAAAATAGATCAACTGTTATTATACTTTATTGCACATTAGAACTACCTGGGATAACTTTAAAAAATCCTGATGTTGAGATCCTTCCCCAGTCCAATTAAATCAGACACCCTGGAAGTGTAATCTTGGCATCATTATTTTAAAACTCCCTTAGGTGATTGCAGTATACAGCCAAGATTGAGAACCACTGGAATAGAGGAAAGGAGAATGTTAACATATATAGATAAGGCGGAGCTACTTTAAACCACAGATCTCTCCTTTTATTTGCTGCAATCTTCTAAAATTACTCAATTTTTGAGGCTTCTATTTATTTTATATAATATTTAATATATAAAAATATGTGCAACATAAAATGAAGTTATGAAGTTTAATTAAAATAACAAATACTTAGAAGCCTACCATATAACTTCAAAACTAAAAATTATCCACAATTCCATTCTCCTACTGCTTTCATAGTTCTAATTCCATTATCCCAAATTTGTTTATCTTTCACTTATTTTTGTAAGAATACTTATAATAAGTATATGTTTCCATGAGTAGCTTATTATCTAGTCTAGCTTGATAATTGCTTTATATAAATAATACTATATGTAGTATTCAGAAGTTCTAATTATTTTTGATTAATCAATATTATGGTTCAGGTATTCTCCCACGTTATACATAGTTATAGTATTAAATTATTTTCATAGAGGTATATTTTATTGTGTGAATATCCTATAAGGTATTTTTCAGTGTCTCTGTCAATGGACATTCAGGATTTCTTTTTAGTTTTTGTTATTGAAACAAAGTTGTGATGAATGCTTTTATACAGACTCCTGGTGACATATGGCACTGTTTTTCTAGACTATACCTAGGAGTAGAATGTCTGGGTCACAGGATATATGCATGTATAAATTTAAAGGTAATGCTATTTCCCTCCCTGCACTCTGAATGGTTGTATTGATTTATACTCTCATCAGCATTTATAAGACTTCCCATTGTTCCACATACTCATCAACATGTAGTACTATAGAACTGGTTATTTTTGGCAATCTAGTGGGTAAACAAAAATAGTTCAGTGTAATGATTTTTTAATGGGTTTCATTATTTTCATATACTTATTTCCCTATTGTGTAACTTCTGGAATATCTATTCTTTTCATTTGCACATATTTTTGGCTTATTTATTTTATTGATTGAATTATAATTTGGCTTTTTATATTTGTTATGCTGTTTTATGATCATTTATGAAGTTTTATGGTTTTAATGAGGTTGAACTTAATACTTATTGGCACAATGCCCATCAATGACAGACTGGATAAAGAAAATGTAGCACGTATATACCATGGAATACTATGCAGCCATAAAAAGGGTGAGTTCATGTCCTTAGCAGGGACATGGGTGAAACTGGAAACCATCATTCTCAGCAAACTAACACAAGAACAGAAAACCAACACCGCATGTTCTGAGTTGGACAATGAGAACATATGGACACAGGCAGGGGAACATCACACACTGGGGCCTGTTGTGGGTGGGGGGCTAGGGAAGGGATAGCATTAGGAGAAATACCTAATGTAGATGACAGGTTGATGGGTGCAGCAAACCACCATGGCACGTGTATACCTATGTAACAAACCTGCATGTTCTGCACATGCACCCCAGAACTTAAAAGTATTAAAAAAAAAAAGATATTTGGCACAATTAAGCAATCCTTCCTCATACCTATATCATAAAAAATATGTGTCTGTACTTTTTCCCAAGAGCTTAAAAAGTTTGCTGCTCATATTTAAGCCATTAAAAGACTTGAAGTCATGGCATTCCATAGAAATCTAAGGTTATTTTTTCCATAAGAGTAGCCAATATTTACACACCATTTATTGACAATTGTTCATTCACATTGATCAGCCAATGCCATATATATTGCATATCAAATTTCCATGTAGAATAATGGCCTTCATATGGGCTCTCTGCTTTGTCCCATTTGTGAATGTATTAATTTCTATGTTAATATCATGTCATTTTAGTTATTTACTTCAATTTTATAGTAAGTCTTTATAATTTGTAAGACAATTTTACTTTTTTTTTTTTTCAATGTCTTGGCTATTGACCCGTGTAATCTTCTGTACACATTTTGGAATTAGACTGGTGTTTCTTGAAATAGCTTTTAAGGATTCTGATTTAAATTGCATTAAATTTATTAATTAATTTTGGAAAATTTTCTCCTTTATGATACTAAGTTTTCATCTCTAGGAACATGGTGTTTTTTCATCAAATTATAAATTTCAAAATAAATTTTTTAAAAAGTTTTAAGATTTCCTTCATAAGGATTAGCTTATGCTGGGGGGATTTAATTCTAATTTTTTTTCTTGTATGGGTGTTTTGTTGTTGTTGTTTACAAATTGTCATTATAAAAAATTTAGGACAGGTAGAAAAGTAGAGAATGTATTATAATTTATCCCCTTTTCTATGACTCCTGGCTTTAATAGTTATCAATCATAGCACATCTTGTTTTATGTGTACTGCCTCTCATTCTCTCTCACCAACCCCTACATCATTTTGAGGTAAATCCCTGACATTATATCATTTAACTTATAATCAGTAAATGTGGCTTCAAAAATTTTTAAGTGTCTTCTAAGAGTTGCAAATGCATAAAAGATAATATATTTTGGTCTAATTACCTTATATATAATCAATTTTCTAGAATCTCTAATATCTCTCTGTAGAGTATTGGTTCTTAGTGAAATTTGTGACTAATGAGAATGTGTTATTCTTCCTTTCAAATATTTAGAGCATGTTTTTCTTGACTCACCACATATTTGGGTACTATATTAAATTTTGAATGGAAGCAATAATAGTGTCTTTTTTCCTAATGTAAACAGAATGGTTTGAACCTTTTGACATAAGAATAGTTGTAGTATTTTGGTAGATGTGATTTGTCAGAATATGAAGTAATCTTTAGTTTTTAGTTAACCATGATGTCTTATCATGAATAGTGATTTAATTTTATCAAATCATATTATCCATTAATAAGATATATTTTTAAAATTTTTGATTCGTTATGTAACATTTGATGACACTAACACTCCTGGTAAAACTCCAAATTGGTAAAGATGTTTTATTTTCCTAATTGTTACCATATTCAGTTTACTTATGTTTTGTTACATTTTGCATTTATGTGCATGTATAAGATTACCCTGTAATTTTCCTTTCTGTTAATAATATTATGTGCTTTTATTATCTAAGATATTCTTTTTTTAATTTTATTATTATTATACTTTAAGTTTTAGGGTACATGTGCACAATGTGCGGGTTTGTTACATGTGTATACATGTGCCATGTTGGTGTGCTGCACCCATTAACTCGTCATTTAGCATTAGGTATTATTCTCTCAAGGTTTTTGTACAATTGGAATGATCTGTTTTTTTTGCATGTTTGCTGGCAATTGTCTGTATGATTGCACTGAAGTATTTTTAGTTAATAGGAATATTATAAATTGCTTCTTAATTTTTTAAGTAATTTGTCTATTTTGTTTAGACTGAAATTTATTGATATATAATGGTTATAGTAATCTCTATTTATAATTTATTTTAATCTCTATTACTTTTTTCCTTCATAGTATTACTTACTTTTCCCATATTTCAAATTTGTTTACTTTAAAAATCTCACCAAAATAATATTTTAAATCTTTGCAGAGGGCCAAATTTTGATTTTATTCCTCGTCTTTAACCTTGTTTTTTAGTTTATTTAATTTCTGCTCTCACTTTTACAACCTCCTTCCATCTAATTTGAATTAATGGAAGGTTTCTAAAAAGATGAAATATAATTCATGTACCACAAAATATATCTCAATTCAGTACTTTTTTAGTATATTAAAACAATTGTATAACTACTACCTCAACCTAATTTCAGATTATTTTGATTAATCTAAAATGAAATCTTTTACCATTAGGAAATATTCTCCAATTCTTCTCTTCCCCCAGTCCCTGGCAGCCACTCATCTACTTTCTTTTCTGTGGATTTGCCTATTCTGGACATTTTACATAGAGTTTAACTTTTTGAGAAACTGTTAAATTTTCTCAAACCAACTGCACCATTTTATATACCCATCAGCAATGTATAATTCCAATTATCCACATGCATGTTAAAAGTTGTTATTATCGGTCTTTTTAATTAAAGCTACCAAAAAGAATGTGAAAGGTATATTGCTGTGTTTTTAATGTTCATTTCCCTAATGATGAATGATGTTGAATGTCTTTTTATGTTCATATGGACCATGTGTTTACCTTCTTTAAAAAAATCTATTTAAATCCTTTGTCCACTTTTTAATTGGGTTAGTTGTCTGTTATCACTGAGTCATAAAACTCTTTGTATATTCTGGTCACAAGTCCCCTATCAGATATATGATTTGCAAATACTATTTTCCATTGTGTGGATTTTCACTTTCTTGATAGGGTTTATCTTAAGTACAAAAGTTTTTAGTTTTGATGAAGTGAAATTTATTTATTTTGTGTGTTTTTGCTTTTGGTGATGTATCTAGGTAACTATTGCCTAATCCAAGGTAACAAAGGTTTACGCCTATTTTTCTTCTGAGAGATGTATAGTTTTAGCTATAGTTTTAGTTTTACAGTGAGGTCTTTGATGCAGTTTAGTTAACTTCTGATATGATGTGAGATAAGAGTCCACATTCATTTTTTTGTAAGTGGATATCAAGTTGTCCTTGCACTATTTATTGAATTTTATATTCCTTTCAATTGTCTTGGCACCTTTGTTGAAAATCAATTGCTCATAAATGGATGGTTTATTTCTAGACTCTCAATTCTATTCAATTGATCTGCCTCTATGCTTATGTCAGTCCCACAGTTTGAAATTAAAGAAGTGTAGAGTCTTCAAAGTTTTATTATTCTTTTTAAAGACTGTTTTGGCTATTCTTGTTCCACTGCATTTCCATATGATATTAGAATCAACTTGCCAGTTTCTCCAAAATGGAAGGCTTGTGTTTTGAAAAGGTTTGTGTGGAATAGGTTGATTAATTCACAGAGTATTATTATCTTAACATCAAGTGTTCTAATTCATAAATACAGAATGTCTTTTCATACATTTTGGTCTTTAATCCCTTTCAATGATATTCTGTAATTTTTAGTGTATAAGTCTTGTACTTCTCTTGTTAACCTTACTTCCAAGTATTATTTTTGATACTATGGCAAATTGAACATTCTGAATTTTCTTTGTCATACTGTTCATTGATAGTGATTGATAGTGTATAGCAATACAATTAACTTTTTCTTTCTTTCTTTCTTTCTTTCTTTCTTTCTTTCTTTCTTTCTTTCTTTCTTTCTTTCTTTCTTTCTTTTTGAAACGGAGTTTCACTCAGTCAGGCTGGAGTGCAATGGTGTGATCTCAGCTCACTGCAACCTCTGCCTCCTGGGTTCAAGAAATTCTCCTGCCTCAGCCTCCAGAGTAGCTGAGACTATAGGCACGCGCCACCACACCCAGCTAATTTTTCTATTTTTAGTAGAGACAGGATTTCACCATGTTGGCCAGGATGGTCTCAATCTCTTGACCTTGTGATCCGCCCGCCTCGGCCTTCCAAAGTGCTAGGATTACAGGCATGAGCCACAGAACCCAGCCAATACAATTAAGTTGTATATATTGACCTTGTTTCCTGTGACCTTGATGAATTCATTTATTAGTGCTAACATTTTTCTATCTGTGCATATTAGGATTTTTTATATATGAGATCATACCATCTGCAAACAAAAATAGTTTAACTTCCTCATTTCTAATCTAAATACCATTTATTTATTGCCTGATTGCCAGGCTAGAACCTCCAGTACAATATTGAATAGAAGTAGCAAGAATAGATATATTTTCCTTATTCCTGATTTTAATGGGAAAGCTTTCAGTCTTTCACCATTACGTGTGATGTTATCTTTTGGCTTTTTCACATATACTGTTTATCAGGTTGAAGACGTGCCTTACATTCCTATTTTGATAAGTGTTCTCTTATTATAAAGTGTGTTGATTTTGTCAAATGCTTTTTCTGTGTCTGTTGAGATCATGTCATTTAGTTCATTGTTCTGTTGGTATGTTTTATTACATTAATTTCCAGATGTTAGACCACCTTTCATTCCTGGGATAAACTCAATTTGGTCATGCTGTATAATTCTTTTAATATGTTGCCAGATTTGGTTTGCTTGTATTTTACTTAAGATTTTTATTTCTATATTTATAATATATATAGATCTTTTGAAAAATTAGTTATTTACCTGGCTTTGGTATCCGGAAAATACTAGCCTCATAGAATTAAGTGAGACATTTATGAAAGAATGATGTTAATTCTTTAAATATCTGGTAGAATTTACTCATAAAGCCATTCTATGCTGCACTTTTGCTTTTGAGACTTTCTTTTTTGTTACTCATTTGGTGTCTTTACTTGTTATAAGTCTATTCAGGTTTTCTATTTCTTTTCGTGTCATTTTCTCTAGTTTTTGGTTTCTAGGTATTCATCTATTTCAATCAGGTTATGTGTTTTGTTGCCATATGATTGTTCATACTGTTCCCTTATAAACTTTTTGATTTATGCAAGTTAGTAGTAATGTTTCCTCTTTCATTCTCATTTAAAAATTTTGAAACTTCTATTTTTTATGCTAGGTTAATGTAGCTAAAGGATTGTCATTTTTGCTGATCTTTCAAAGAACCAACTTTTCGTTCTATTGATTTTCTCTATTGTTTACTATTTTCTATTTTATTTATCTCCACTCTAAGCTTATTTCATTACTTCTGGCTTTAGGTTTATCTTGCTCTACTTTTCTTAGTTTCATAAATGGTGGAAGGTTAAGTCGTTGACTTGAACTTTACTGTTTAATAATTTTGTTATGTTTTCTTCCAAGGGTTAGCAAATAAAAACACTAAAATTCTGGTCTGTTGTGTTTTAATTTCAATTTATTTCAAAGTATTTTCCAATTTTCATTGTTATTTCTTCTTGAACCAATTGCTTATTTAGTAAAGTATTGCTTAATTCTCCATACGTATGAATTCTAAATTTCCTTTTTTTATTTATTTCTAATTTTATTCTGTTGTATGTTAAAAAGATGCTCTGTGCTTTAATCCTTTTAAATGTATTGTAGCCTGTTTTGTTGCCTGCCATATGGTTTATCCTGGAGAATGCTGGTTCTTTGAAAAGATAAATAAAATTGATAGCCCACTAGCAAGATTAACCAAGAAAAGAAGAGAGAAAATCCATATAACCTCACTGAGAAACAAAACAGGAGATATTAAAACGGACACCACTGCAATACAAAAGATCATTCAAGGCTGCAATGAACACCTTTATGCACATAAACTAGAAAAACTAGAAGATATGGATAAATTCTTGGAAAAATACAACCCTCCTAGCTTAAATCAGGAAGAATTAGATACCCTGAACAGACCAATAACAAGCAGCAAGACTGAAATGGTAATTAAAAAATTACCAACAAAAAGGACCAGATGGATTCACAGCAGAATTCTACCAGACATTCAAAGAAGAATGGTGGTATTTTGATGGGGGTTGCAATCCTTTTGACACTATTCCACAAGATAGAGAAAGAAGGAACCAATCCTTTTGACGCTATTCCACAAGATAGAGAAAGAAGGAACCCTCCCTAATTCATTCTATGAAGTCAGAATCACCCTAATACCAAAACCAGGAAAGGAAATAACCAAAAAAGAAAACTACAGATCAGTATCTTTGAATATAGATGCTAAGATTCTTAAAATACTAGCCAACTGAATCCAACAACATATCAAAAAGATAATCCACCATCATCAAGTGGGTTTTATACCAGGGATGCAGGGATGGTTTAACATGCAAGTTAGTAAATGTGATACACCACATAAACAGAATTAAACACAAAAATCACATAATCATCTCAATAGATGCAGAAAAAGCATTCGACAAAATCCAGTATCGCTTTCCAATGAAAACTCTCAGCAAAATTGGCATACAAGGGACCTACCTCAATGTAATAAAAGCCATCTATGACAAACCCACATCCAACATAATACCGAATGGGGAAAAGTTGAAAGCATTCCCTCTGAGAACTGGAACAAGACAAGGATGCCCACTCTCACCACTCTTCTTCAACATATTACTGGAAGTCCTAGCCAGAGCAATCAGACAAGAGAAAGAAATAAAGGGCATCCAAATCCTAAACAGGAAGTCAAACTGTCACTGTTTGCTGAAGATATGATCATTTACCTTGAAAACCCTAAAGACTCCTCCAGAAAGCTCCTAGAACTGAGAAAAGAATTCAGCAAAGTTTCTGGATACAAGATTAATGTACACAAATCAGTAGCTCTTCTGTACACCTACAAAGACCAAGTGGAGAATCAAATCAAGAACTCAGTCTTCTTTACAATAGCTACAAAAAAAAAATTCTTAGGAATATACCTAACCAAGGAGGTGAAAGACCTCTAGAAGGAAAACTACAAAACACTGCTGAAAGAAGTCATAGATGACACAAACAAATGGAAACACATCCCGTGCTCATTAATGGGTAGAATCATTATGAAAACGACCAGACTGCCAAAAGCAATCTACAAATTCAATGCATTCCCCATCAAAATACCACCATCATTCTAAACAGAATTAGAAAAAAAAAATTCTAAAATTCATATGGAACCAAAAAAGAGCCTGCATAGCCAAAGCAAGACTAAACAAAAAGAACAAATCTGGAGGCATCACACTACCTGATTTCAAACTATACTATAAGGCCATAGTCACATTAACAGCATGGCACTGGTGTAAAAATAGGCACATAGACCAATGGAACAGAATAGAGAATGCAGAAATAAACCCAACTACTTAGAGCCAACTGATCTTTGACAAAGCAAACAAAAACAAAGTGGGGAAAGGATACCCTTTTCAACAAATGGTGCTGGGATAATTGCTTAGCCACATGTAGGAGAATGAAACTGGATCCTCATCTCTCACCTTATACAAAAATCAACTCAAGATGAATTGAGGACTTAACCCTAAAACTTGAAAATAAAAATTCTAGGAGAAAACACTGGAAAAACCCTTCTAGACATTGGCTTAAACAAGGATTTCATGACCAAGAACCCAAAGGCAAATGCAATAAAAACAAAGATAAATAGCTGGGACCTAATTAAACTAAAGAGCTTTTGCATGGCAAAAGGAACAGTCAGCAGAGTAAACAGACAACCCACAGAGTGGGAGGAAATCTTCACAATCTATACATCTGACAAAGGACTAATATCCAGAATCTACAATGAACTCAAATCAGTATGGAAAAAAAAAAACCTCCCGTTAAAAAGTGGGCTAAGGACATGAATAGACAGTTCTCAAAAGAAGATATACAAATGGCCAACAAATGTATGAAAAAAATGCTCAACATCTCTAATGATCAGGGAAATGCAAATCAAAACCACAAAGTGATACCACCTTACTCCTGCAAGAATGGCCATAATAAAAAAAAAATTGAAAAACAGTAGATATTGGCATGGATGCAGTGATCAGGAAACACTTCTACACGGCTAGGTGGGAATGTAAACTAATACAGCTACTATGGAAACAGTGTGGAGATTCCTTAAAGAACTAAAATTAGAACTACCATTTGATCCAACAATCTCACCACTGGGTATCTACCCAGAGGAAAATAAGTCATTTTCTAAAAAAGATACTTGCACACGCATATTTATAGCAGCACAATTCAAATTGCAAAATTGGAATTTTGGAACCAACCCAAGTGCCCATCAATCAACAAGTGGATAAAGAAACTGTAGTGTATATAATATACGATGGAATACTACTCAACTATAAAAAAGAATGAATTAACAGCATTTGCAGTGACCTGGATAAGATTGGAGACTATTATTCTAAGTGAAGCAACTCAGGAATGTAAAAAGCAAACATTGTATGTTCTCACTGATATGTGGGAGCTAAGCTATGAGGATGCAAAAGCATAAGAATGATACAATGGACTTTGGGGACTTGGCCTGCAAGAGTTAGGGGGGTGGTGGGTGAGGGATTAAAAGACTACAAATACGGTGCAGTGTATACTTCTCAGGTGATGGGTGCACCAAAATCTCACAAATCACCAACTTACTCATGTAACCAAATACCACCTGTACACCAATAACTTATGGAAAAAATAAAGCACTTGAGAAGAATGTATATTCTGCTGTTGATGGTGGAATATTCTGTATACATTGTTACTTACGCCTAGTAGGTATTTTTCAAGTCTTCTGTTCCTTGTTAGTTAGCTGCATGGTTGTTTTATCTTGTTATCTGCATATTTGTGCAAGTATCTTTTTTGGAAAATGACTTCTTTTCTTCTGGGTAGTAGGATTCCTGGATCAAATGGTAGTTCTAGTTTTAGTTCTTTAAGGAATCTCCACACTGTTTCCATAGTGGCTATACTTGTTTACATTCCCACCAACAATGTAGAAGTGTTTCCTGATCACTGCATCCATGCTAATATCTACTGTTTTTCAATTTTTTTTTTATTAAGGCTATTCTTGCAGGAGTAAGATGGTATCACATTGTGGTTCTTTTATATAATGCTGAAAGTAGGGTGTTGAGGTCTTGACCGTTGTTGAATTGTCAGTTACTCTTTTAATTCTGTCAACTTTTGCTTCATATATTTTGAGGCTATTATTAGATGTACACATATTTATAACTTATATATTTTTATGAGAATATATAACACTTGCTGTTATATTGACGAGTTCACCACTTTATTATTATTAAATATCTTTTTTTCCTCTAGTAGCAATTTTTGTCTTATAGTCTGTTTTATATTAGTTTAGACACTCCCGCTCTATTTTGATTACTGTTTGTGTATTTTATCTTTTTACTTTCGGCCTATATGTGTCTTTCAATCTACAGTGTGTCTCGTTAATAGCATGTATTGGGAATATTTTTAAAAATTATTTCTTCCAGTCTCTGCCTTTAATTGGAATGTTGAATCCATTTATATTTAATATGACTGATAAGGCAGAATTTATATCTGCCATTTTTCATTTTTTTCTATATGTTGTATGTCTTTTTGTTCCTCTTTGTATTGCTGCCTCCTTTTTTGTTAAATAGGTATTTTTTTAGTGCATTAAACTCTTTAAACATTATATTTTTTCGATTTTTCACTTTTTAAACTTTATTTTCTTACTCTTAGGTTCAGGGGCTACGTGTGCAGGTTTGTTTAATGGGTAAATTGTGTGTTGATGGGGTTTGGCATACAAACGATTCTGTCATTTGGGTAGTGAGCATAGTCCTAATCATTAGTTTTTCAACACTCAGTCCCCTTCCCCCCAGTAATCTCCAGTATCTATTGTTTTCATCTTTATATCCATGTGTACTTAATGTTTAGCTCCCACTTATATGTATGAGAACATGTGGTACTTGGTTTTCTGTTCCTATGTTAATTCACTTAGAATGATGGCCTCCAGCTGCATCCATGTTGCTGCAGAGGACATGATTTTGTTCCTTATTATAGTTGCATAGTATTCCATACTGTATATATACCACACTTTCTTTACTGAATCCATCGTTAATGAACATTTAGGTTAATTCCATGCCTTTGCTATTGTGAATAGTGCTATAATGAACATGCAAGTGCATGTGTCTTTTTGGTAGAACAATATCAATTTTCCTTTGGGGTATATACCCAGTAATGAAATTGCTGGGTCAAATGGGAGTTCTGTTTTACATTCTTTTTTTTTTATTATACTTTAAGTTTTAGGGTACATGTGCACAACGTGCAGGTTAGTTACATATGTATACATGTGCCATGTTGGTGTGCTGCACCCATTAACTCATCATTTAACATTAGGTATATCTCCTAATGCTATCCCTCCCCCCTTCCCCCACCCCACAACAGGCCGCGGTGTGTGATGTTCCCCTCCCTGTGTCCATGTGTTCTCATTGTTCAATTCCCACCTATGAGTGAGAACATGCGGTGTTTGGTTTTTTGTCCTTGTGATAGTTTGCTGAGAATGATGAAATCTTCAAACTTATTTCCAAAATGGTTGAACATATTTACATTCCCACCAACAGTGTATATAAACATTCCCTTTACCCTGTAACTTTGTCAACATCTATTATTTTTTGACTTTTTAATATTAGGTATTCAGAGTTGTGTGAGATGTTATCTCATTTTACCATTTTCAAGGTTTTTTTAAGCAGCTGCCCTGGGGGTTACAATTTATATTATAACTTATAAAAAATTAGTTCTTATTGATACCAATTTAATTTCAACAGTGCACACATTCTTTGCTCTTTGCTAGCTCTATTTGCTCCCTACTCTACTGTGCTGTTATTATCATGTAAATTTCATCTTTATACATTGTATGCCCAACAACATAGATTTATAATTACTGCTTTATGCAGGGCTTTTAAACTAAGATAGAAAAAAAAGGTATTATCAACAAAAATACATTTATACTTTTATACTTATGTAGTACTATACAGCCTTTAGCAGTGTACTTTATTTCTTCATGTTGATTCAAATTAGTGTCTGCTCATTTTCATCCTGGACTCTTGTTAGTATTTCTTGTAGGAAAGTGTGCCATGGGAAAATTCTCTACATTTTTGTCTACTTCTCTTTAGCATTTGAAGAAAGTTTTTTCTGGATATAGAATTCTTGGTTGATAAACTTTTTTGTTTTAGCACTTTAAATATATAATCCCACTACCTACTTGTTTTGTTGTTCCTTTTCTAATGATTTAGCTAGATGCTTCTTTTATTTATTTTTACTCATTCATGTTTACGGGTTTAGTTGCAGAAATCTACTTCTAAACTTTATGCTAAATTCATTTGCTTCTCTCTGCTTTTGGTTATGTAAGCTCATCATTAATTAAAAATAATATATATATATATATAAATTTTTTTTGAGATGGAGTTTCACTCTTGTCGCCCAGGCTGGAGTGCAGTGCCGCAATCTCGGCTCACTGCAACATCCGCCTCCTGGGTTCAAGTGATTCTCCTGCCTCAGCCTCCCGAGTAGCTGGGATTATAAGCACCCACCACCACGCCTGGCTAATTTTTGTATTTTTAGTAGAGACGGGGTTTTGCCATGTTGGCCAGGCTCATCTCAAACTCCTGACCTCAGGTTATCTGCCTGTCTTGGCCTCCCAAAGTGCTGGGATTACAGCAGTGAGCCACGATGCCAGGCCAAATTAAATTTTTTTTAATGTTTCAAAAAATTTTCTTTCATGTTTCAGTAAATTTTCTTTCTGGATGGTATTAAGGTTACTTTATATTTCTGGGAACTGATGTCTCTAATTGGAGCTTTATTATAAATGTCTGCTCTTGTTGTTTGGATGTGATATCCTGTCTTATTTGTCTATTCTATTAATTTTACTTCTAGTGTGTTAGATTTTGTTTGGAGCTTTGGTTCTTTGACTCAAATATATTATGATTCTTGGTTTAATGTTTACCTTTTAATTAAAAAAATTTTTAGTTTGTTTAGAATATTTAGTTTCTGTAATAAATCTTGGTTCTTATTATTTTGGGATAAGAATGAGAAATATTGCTAGCTAGTGTGCGCTAAGAGCCAGTTGTCTCTTTTTGAGAGCCTATTCTTATTAGCTTTCACCAGAATCCCAGGGAACAGCCTTAGTTTTTTAGCCTGTGTTCTTATACTTACTGGTTCCACAGCTTAGCAGTATTTGGTGGATAGAATGATAGAAGAACCTGGATGTAAAAGACCAACGAGTCACCCAAATGTTTGCTTCAAAGTCTACTCTTGTCTCAAACACTAGCTCTAAGTGCTTTCCCATGTTCTGAAGTAGTATGCTTTTATATTTTGAAACTGTGATTTGCTGCTTTAACCTGCCAATATCTTTCTATTTCTCAGAGTCAAAATGTTGCACATGATGAGCATTTAATGGCACTACCTCTTTTTTCCAGCTTTGATATTAGATATTTGTGGTTTATGTGTGTGTGCGGAGGGGAGAGGTACTTATTTTCAGGGATTTGCTAATAAAAGGGGGAAGAGGGAGAGCATTTTTTTCTATTGTCATAACCCAGTGGCCAATTTATTCATTTTAAATATAAAATCTGTTGCCCAAAGACAAAGTTTTTTCCAAAGGAAGATATTTAGCTCTTCAACAACAGATCTAGGAATGGATATTTGATTTGCTGACTTATGTTGCTTTTCCTTTTGTCGTATTTGTCTTTTTAATGAAATAATAATCTGAAAAGTCATTTTAGCACCTATAACAGTGCAATTTAACATTGAACAGCTTACAAGTAAAATTTTAACATCATAATGAATGTTTAGAGAAAGTAACATATACTTTAAATCTATAAACATTAAGGAATATATTATATTCTGCCTAGAAATACCAGGTCTAAGATTGACTATTAGCATCACTTCAGTTGATTCACATGGCAAATTTAAAAATATCTGTTTATCAAATCATTATGAGTTATGTATGAGTAATTAAAATAGCAAATAGCAACTAACCAAGCCTATTAACTAGATACAGAAAACAAAATTGTATACATTAATCATATAATTTATAGTATAAAATGAATACAAGTCAATGAAGCAGTTATTTGAATTCAATGTAGGTTGTTTATTATTTGTTACTACTGACCACTCCTTAGTGTATATGCTATCATGGAATAGGTTGATATTTATGTTTCTTGTATAAATACAAGTATAAATGGAGTATTTATTTTGACTGATACTTTTTTGAATGACATCAGGAATAGTTGGTCTTTTATGCCCTCACTATTCACATCTCATTCCTATAGTATAAAATAGAATCATCTTTGAAATCTGCCTGCCATTTTTGCATCTTGAGCAATACTATAGAGAACCAGTTCAAACACACAGTTCCCAACAGTATCAAAAGGAATGGGTGGGAAACCATTTCCATTGCAAGAAGTGCACCATGAACTTTAGGAAAAAATAGAAATCTAGCAGAATCCTTTCTCAAGCAATCTCTTAAAAAACAACCAACCAAACCAAACAAAATCTAAATCTTTTACTCAGGTATGGTCAATAACTTAATATGAACTCTCTGTTTATTGTTTACATTGTCTGTCATTAATTTCTTTAGAGAAGAAACATCTGTAACTTCTTCACACCAGTGAGGTGAGTTGTTCAAAAGACTGACATTTGCATATAAATAAAGGATAAATGAAAATATACCATTTAACTATTTTAGTAAAAGATGAATATAAAAAATAAAATGGTTATTTTTTCTTAATCTCTGAAGATCATTTTTTTTTGCATGGAGAATATAGAAGCTTCTTTTTCTCCCACTGCTATTTATTTAAGTAACACTGAAGTAGACTGCTATGCTTACTTAACATTAGCTTTCCCTTTTTATTCCTATAGCATATAAAATAAGCTTTAAATATCACTGAGAATTAAAAGAAGGATGCAGAAATAATGAGTAGTTATTTCAAAGACAAATGCTGAAAGTTATATATGATAAAGAACTAGTGTTAATACCATCAACTGAACATATTTACAGGAGGAAAAAAAATGAAATTATGTATTTTTTTCTCTGCTGAATAAAAAGTCGTATGTTAAAAAAATTATATTGTATTTCAATAACAGTATAATACACACCAAAAACATGTGGGTGTGAATTTAAGTGACTTCTTTACAGAAATGTACTGGATTTGGGGATACATCAATTGACTACATGTAGAATGGAACTTGTATTCAGTAGTGTCTCATCAGACACTGACAACAGCTGTATTTTGAAAATGATGCATTTAATGAATAACCACCACAAAACAGAGACTATTAAGTAAAAATTAGTGGTCAACTAAAAAAACCCAAAATATCAATTGATAGTAAAATAAGTAAGTTGTGGTAAATTCATTAATAAAATGAGAATGATCAGACTATAATTACATGCAAAATACTGTTGATCCAAAGAATCAAATAAAAATGATATATACTTTATAATACAGTTTGTATAAAGTTAAAAAACCATCACAGGTAATCTCTAGTGTTATAAGGCAGCATAGAGGTTGTATTTGAGAAGGTATTAGTGACTAGAGAGACATGAAGGGCTTTCTGTTATTTTGGTAATTTTTTTTATTTCCTTATCTGGTTGTTGTTTAATAGAATGCATTCACTTTGTGATAATTCATCAAGTTGTGTATGTATGTTTTATGACCTAAATATTTATCTTATAATTCAGTTGGGTCTACATGGAGAAAAATATCTAAGTCAAATGATTAAAACAAATTTTTTCTATGTTTTTATATGTTCTATCTACATGTATTTTGGCAGGGGCAAGTAGGCAAAAAGAAAACAAATCAATTAATACCTCAGCCCTTAAAAACATCACTTACTATGAGTCATGAGTTGTGCTTGAATATTTTAGGGGGAAAGGGAAGTCACGAAGCTATATATAGACTAGATGTGGTATATTAGAAGCAGCCAACAACTTTTTCAGGAATTTCTAGTTCTACCACAGTAATGTAGACCTAACCGCAGACTCAGTAACACTTTAAGTCCCAATCAAGGATACCAATCCATGGCTTTTCACTACCTTATTCTTAACCCACAAAGAAAGAGCAAAAAAAAAAAAAAAAAAAAAAATCAATTTCTCCATCTGCTCATAATCAAAACACTTCTACTTCTCTCACAACAATGCATAGACAAAACACTGCTTAGCATTTCATTAGCTAGCTGAAATGTAATTACAGCAGTGGTCTAACACAAACAGGCAACATTGGCACCTTAAAAGCTCAGTAAACTCAAAACATTGCCTTATGATATTAACATCTTGAAAATTGTGTTAATTCCCTTTGCTGTACATACAGAATTTCAACATCAATGCCCATAAATGAATTTTCATAGTTTCTTATTCTATCTTCCACTTCACGTTTAACACTCTGAATCTTATTTTGTATAATTTACCCTGTATCTGTTTTTATATATACTCATGCAAAATATGTTGGAAAACTGAAGTCATTTTCTAGATAATCCAAGCCCAAAAATGGCCTCAGTTGCTTAGACATTTCAGATGAAGTTGTGTTTCCCTTACTTTGAGTTATAGAGACAATTATCGCAATTCTCCATTTTACATGCATAGGCAAATCCTTAGTATTTAGAGTGTGGAAAACTGCTGAGGACAGTGATTTCAAAAGGAAAGGAAGAAATCTATTTTAAAGTAGAGTAAGAATTTAAATTTATGGTTATTATCTGGCTTAAGGTTTAAAAACTTTATCTTTTTAATATTTCATTAACATTTTAGTGATCAGATTGATTTACATAGTATATAACTTAAAGTGAGAACCATATAGCAGCAAAACTGGGTCGATGTTGATGATTAACGCAGGAAAAATTCATAGCGTGGGATACAGACAGCTTTGCTGTGAATACATAAGAATAAAAGATGCAATTCTTGCCAAGAGATTCTTATGGCTGAGACATGTCACATGGTAATGCTATTCAGAATGTAGTAATGAATGCCTTTCCACTATAATAACACCTATTCTAATCCTCTCATTCTAAACTGAACATAAATATAAAAGATATTAAGAATATATTTGAGATGTCAATGAAATAAAATGTTGTCACAGGATAATGGTCTCTTGCTGCTTCATAAAATACCAAGCCAAAGGCAAAACTTACATTTTCAGAGTAGAAGACATTAATCCCATGATAGTATTTTACTGCAGTGATTGATTGTATTTCTATTATACAAAATGAGCATGTAGATGTAATCAATTCATTTGATGGATGTTGATGTAGTAAGTTGACAATGGTTTATCATCATTATGAATTTTTTTTTGTAAGCAGTTTATAAAAGAAGATACAGATGTTTTAGGAAACTGAACTTGGAGGTGTGGGGAATAGAGGTTTTTGAATAGATGGAGGCTTAAGAGAGTAATAGTTAACACAACCATGAAAGGACGGTGTGATTGATGTATTTACAGCAGTTTGTGTAATATTATTGTTAATATTATACTTTCATATTTCAACTTGCTGACAGATAAAACATAATAATTACATATAATTATTTGACTAAAAAACCACAATAATACAAAGAAAGCTGGACTGCTTCTCAGTATGCTTTACTAAGGCATTTACAAAACTAGATTTGTTACTTTGAATAATAATTGATGAATAGTAGTTGATATCAGTAATCTAGGGCATCATTTCTTATTTCTAGGTACTACCATAATATGAAAAAGATCCATGGTTAAAGATAGTTTGGTGCTTTTTATGGAAGTGCAACCATCTACGGTTAACCAAGCATTTTTCCCAGTGGGAAATGGAAACCATTTATTTCTATTTTCTGTAGAAGTTACATTAATGCCAAAATAGTGGTATGTATTCAGTTGAATATGTTTAGAATAATGTGTTTCATTTAGCAATGCCAGTTCTTTAACATCTGAAACAGGCCTCAGGTTTGTTTTGAAAAACCTTGTCTAAATATTAAAATAGAGCCCAGTCATACAGTTAATTTATTCCCAAAAGGAGATCTGATTTCACATACCGTTTTTGTCCCATTTGCTGGCTGTCTTAATACTAAGGGAATTTCATGTTTCTAAACACCATCTACGTTATCATCCTCTGTCTGTTGGTGTTATAAGGGCCAAGAAATCTGAAAATTAAAATCGTAACCTTTTTCAAAATACAAGAAATAAGGTAACTAATAAAGCTGTTATTTTTCACAAAAATGCAAATCAAGCACACACATTCCTCCCACCATTCATAAAAACATTAGAATGTCCAAACGTGCTGTAATAATTACATCTGGGAAATGCTAGCAGACTTGAGGTACTGTTTGTCATTAGGTTGTTCATTACCATGATTATTCATAGGCAATCCACTGTCAACTTAATTCTTTGTATGAATAGAAGATCTAGAATCATTACAATAACATTTTTCTATATTAATCACAAATCCATTTTTTTGGAATTTTATTATGAACTCTATATTTCAGGATCACATACATTAGTTGGCTAGGGATACCATAACAAAATCAGTATGGGATACTGAAACAAGAGAAATTTATTTACTCATGGTTCCAGATGCTGGAAGTTCAAGATAAAGGGGTTGGCAGGTTTGTTTTCCTCTGGAGTCCTTTTCTTTGACTTGTAAAATAGCTGCCTTCTGGCTGTACCCCTCACAGGTCCTTTTCTCTGTGCTCACACACCTGTTGTTATTTTTGTATCAAAATTTCCTTTTAAGGACACCAGTCAAGTTGGATGAGACCCCATCCATATGACTTCATTTAACATTAATTACCTTTTAAAAGCCCCATCTCCAGGTAGAGTCACAGCATAAGATACTGTGAATTAGGGCTGCAGAATATTAATTATAGGGGAACAAAAAGCAGCCCATAACATATACTAGTAATATTTCCTTTCAATTATGACATTATATATTAAAAAAACTAAAGAATTCAGTGTTGAAATGGGTTGCCCAACAATACCTACAGAGTTAGTAATAAAGCCATATTAATATATGGTCTTTATCAAAGACAACAAAAACGATTCTGTGTTGAAAGTGTTCTGTCAATTTTATTCTTTTGTCCCATTACTGAGGAAAAATCTAAGTACTCTACCTGATGTCTGTGAACTATGAAATTTTCCACTTTGGTTAGAAATTGATTTTTCCGGCCCTGTGTGAACCTCAAGGATTGTTTGCTGTACTTTTTTTTAGTGGTTCTTTCCCCAGACCCTGGTAGTGTCCTCAGGTGCTTGTGCTGCAATTAATGAGTACTCAGCTGAGTGGGGAACTCTGGATATCTGCAGAGTTCTTTCTCTGGGAGGCTTTCACCTGAACTCTCTACTACCTTGCAAACAAACTAGCCACTTTGGCCTCCTTGTACTTATAGCTCTATCTCTTCACTTCAGGAATTTGCTGAGCTCCATCTAGATTCTCCTAGCTTTGGAGATTGGCAGTTTTCCCTGGTTAGTAAGCTGAGACAATTGGACCTCATTTGTTTGCCATTTTTGGAGATTTTTATCCTTCACTGTTTGATGTCCAATATATTGAGAACTGGTTTTTGTAAAAAAAAAAAAAAAAAAAAAAAATCAAAGTATAAATAGAAATCTGTTACTCCCTCTTGACTAAAAGCTATCATTCATATTTAAAAGTACAATCTGTCAGGGATGAAATTTTATATATGGTGTTCCATAGGCATCAAAAGTTTTCTTCCTAATAGATATCCAGTGCATCCAGCCTCAGTTACTTTCACTAAAAATATAGCCTTTCCTTTTCAGAAAAAAAATACAGGCTTTCCTCATAGCACTGCAGGATCACTTTTGTCATAAATCAAGAATTGGCATAACTGTATATATTTGGGTCTGTTGCTGGACTCTCTATTGTTCCATTGGTCTACTTCCTTACACTAATACCATAATTTTAATTTATGTGACTGTGTGATGAATCTTAATAAAATATTTGGGCTTCTACTTCAAGATTGTTTTAGGGCTCTTCAGGACTTTTGAATTTTTACACAAATATTAGCATCTAATATTTAAATGTTGAATCTAGGAACTAATTTGGGAAAAATACTGCACTGAAAAATTGTTTCAATACTATATTGAAAAATATGTATCTTTTGGTCTATGATCATAGTATAGTCTTCAGTTCACTGAAGTGTTCTTTTATTTCTGACAATATTCAGTGTAGAAATTGTAATAATTTTTCATTAGCATTATTTGTTTTTTCTTGATGTTTTTCAAATGACATCTTTTAAATTTTTATTTGCTATTTCTTGCTAATACAAAGAAATAGCAATGATTTTATATATTAACTGTTTCTATAGCAACTTATTAAATATGCATATTAAGTCTAATTATTTATAAGTGGGTATCTTTATTTTCTAAGTATAAAAGTCACTAAGGATAACAATTTTTTCTGTTCTTTAAAATTCCAATATGTATGCCTTTTATGTCCTTGCCTTTCCTCATTGTGCTAGCTAGAACTTCTAATTTATAGTTAGATAGAAGTGATCATAGTGTACATTTCTTGAATCATTCCCAATATCATGGGTAAAGGTCTGAGTAAATCACCATTAAAGGTGATATTAGCTGTAGGTTTTTTTTCCCAAGAATATGTAAAATGAGAATTGGAGTTTAAAAACAGAACAGGGATACATTAAACAATTAGCTGTAGGTTTTAAAAAATCTTTACCAGGTTAAGAAGTAACTTCTAGCCATAATTTGCTAATATTTTAAAAGTTTCATTGTATTTTTAATTGACATATAATAATTGTACATATTTATGGGGTACCATGTGACATTTCAGTGTAAGTACATGTTATATAATGATCAAATCAGGGTAATTAGCAAATCATTTATCTCAAACATTTATTTGTGATGAGAACATTCAGAATCCGTTCTTATAGCTATTTTGAAATGTACAATGTATTTTTGTTAACTATAGTCACTATATTGTGCAATGGAACACCACAATTTACTTATTTTATCTAGCTGTAACTTTGTGTACCTATTGATCAACCTCTCCCCATTTCTCTCTACCCCCTACTCTCCCCCACCCCCAGCCTATGATAGTAACCACTTTTGATTTCACACAGGAGTAAGTTATTTTGCGGGTTTTTTTTTTTTTTTTTTTTTTTTTTTTGGTGTCTGGCTTATTTCACTTAACAGAATGTCCTCCAGGTTTATCTATGTTATTGCATATCATAGAATTTCCTCTTTTTTTTTGAATTTGACTAGTATTCCATTGGGTATATATATTATATTTTCTTTATTCATTTTTTCCATTGATCGACACTTACATTGATTCTATATCTCAGCTATGGTGAATAGTGCTGCAATAAACATGGGAGTGCAGATATCTATTTGACATAATGATTTCCTTTGAATATATACCCAGTAGTGAGATTGCTAGATCATGTGGTACTTCAATTTTTTTTTTAATTTTTTAATTTTTAATTTTTGAGAGTACATAGTAGGTGTATACATTTATTATTTTCAATATTTTAGAAACCTCCATAATATTTAACATAATGACTGTACGAATTTATATTCCTACCAACAGTGCATAAGGGTTCCCTTTTCTTCACATCCTTGGCAACACTTATCTTTTGTTTTTTAGATAACTTTGCATTTTATCTGGAGGGCGGTGATATCTCACTGTGGTTTTGAGTTGCATTTTCCTGATGATCAGTGATGTTGAGTATTTTTATGTAACTTTTGGGCATTTGTATGTCTTCTTTTGAAAAATATCCATTCACATATTTTGCCCATTTTTAATCCATTTTGTTTGTTATTGAGTTGTTTCAGTTTCTTGTATATTCTGGTTATTAACCTCTTGTCAGAAGTATAGTTTGCAAAAATTTTCTCCCATTCGACAGGTTGTCTCTTCACACTGTTGGTGGTTTTCTTAGCTGTGTAGAAGTTTCTTAGTTTGATATGTTTGATATAATCTTATTTGTCCTTTTTTTTTTTTGCATTTGTTGCCTGTGCTTTTTAGGTTTTATCCAAAAAAATCTTTGCCCAGACCAATATTATATAGCATTTACTCTATGTTTTATTCTGGTTTTTTCATAGTTTCGAGGTCTTACATTTAACTCTGTAATGCATTTGGAGTTAATTCCTTACATATGAGAGATAGGGGACAAATTTTATTCTTCTGAATGTAGACATTCAATTTTCCAACCATCATTTATTGAAAAGACTGTCCTTACCCCAGTATGAGTTTTTGGCCCGTTTGGCAAAAATAAGTTGGCTTAAGAGCTATGGGTTTATTTCTGGGCTCTCTATACTGTCCCATTGGTCTATGTATTCATTTTTATGTCAACACCATGCTTTTTTTGTTATTATAGCTTTGTAGTATATTTTGAAGTTAGGTAGTGAGATGCCTTCAGCTGTGTTGTTGTGTTTATTTGGTTTTGGTTTTGTTTGCTCAAGAGTGCTTTGATTTACAGAGTCTTTTGTGGTTCAATAAAAATTTTAGGATCCCTATTTTTTCTATTTCTGTAAAGAATTCATTGGTATTTTGATAGGTATTGCATTGACTCACTCTGCAGAATAATTTTGGGAGTATGGACTTTTTAACAATACTAATTCTTCCACTGCATATACACAGGATATTTTTTCCATTTATTTATGTCCACTTCAATTTTTATAATCAGTGTTTTATAGTTTTTGTTTTGGAGATTTTTTACCTCCTTAGTTAAATTTATTCCAAGGTATCTTATTTTTTGTAGTTATTGTGAATGGAGTTGTTTGCTTTTATTTCTTTTTCAGATAGTTCATCATTAGCATGTAAAAATGCTACCAATTTTTTATGTTGATTTTGTATCCTGAAACTTTACTGAATTTGTTTATTAGTTATAATAGTTTTTTGTGGAGTCTTTGGCTTTTCTATATAAGATCACATCTCCTGCAGATCAGGACAGTTCGACTTCCTCCTTTCCTATGTGGATGCATTTTCTTTCCTTCTTTAGTCTAACTGTTCTGGCTAAAACTTCCTGTAATATGTTGAATAGAAGTGTCTAGGAACTTATCTCTTTCTTCTAGGTTTCCCAATTTGTAGGTGTATAGTTGTTCATAGTAGTAGTCTTTTATGATCCTTTCCATTTCTGTGTTATATGTTGTAATGTCTTCTTTTTCACCTTTGATTTGATTTCTTTGAGTCTTCTCTCTTTTTTGACTTCTTAGTCTGGCTTAAAGTTTGTTGGTTTGTTTATCTTTTCTGAAAAACAACTTTGTTTCTACTCAAAGGACTGTCATAGTCATGTTTTGTAGGTTAGCTCTAGTAGTGATAAATTTCCTCAACTTTTGCTTGTCTGGAAAAGATTTTATTTCTCCTTTCTCATTAATGAAGGACTGGTCTGCTAGGTATAGAATTCTTGGCTGCCAGGTTTTTTTTGTCTTCTTTTTTTTTTTCTTTCAGCACTTGGAATATGTCATCCCATTCTCTCCTGGACTACACAGTGTCTGCTGTGAAGTTCACTGATATCATAATGGAATTCCTTTATATGTGACTCTGCTTTTTTCTTGCTGTCTTTAAAATCCTCTCATTGTCTTTGACTTTTGAGGGTTTAATTAATGTCTCTAAGTGAAGTCCTCTTTGGTTTTAATCTGCTTGGGGACCTTTGAGCTTCATCTATCTGGATTTCCATATCTCTTCAAACACTTGGGAAGTTTTCACCAATTATTTTATTAAGTAAGTTTTCTGTCTGCATCTTTCTCTCTTTTCCTTCTGGAATTCCCATAATACAAATGTTTGTTCATTTAATGCTGTCCCATAAGTCTTGTATACTGTCTTCACTGTTTTTCATTCTTATGTTTTTCTTTCTTCTGACTTGGTAATTTCAAATGACCAGTCTTCAAGTTCAGAGATTCTTTCTTTTGCTTTATTTAGTCTCAACTGTATTTTTTGAAGCTCTCTATTGTACTTTTTTATTTTATTCATTGAATTCTTCAACTCCAATATTTCTGTGTGGTTGTTTTTAATGATGTCTATCTCTTTGGTAAGGTTATCATTTAGATCATGAATAGTTTTCCTGGTTTAACCAAATTGTCTATCTGTATTATCTTGTATCTCACTGAGTTTCCTTAAGGTCATTATTTTGAATTTCTTTTCTGGCAATTTGTAGATTTTCAATTCTTTGGGACCTGTTACTGGACTACTATTGTGCTCCTTTGGTGGTGTCAGATTTTCTTGATTTTTCATTGCTTTTTTGTGTCTCTGTGTTGATGTCTGTGCATCTGGTGTAACAATCACCACTTCTAAACTTTAGAAAGTGGCTTTCATAGAGAAATACTTTCACCTGAAAATGGGTCTTAATGTCCTGGTTAGGAAGGGTGTGCTGACTCTGGTTCTAAGTTGCAATCAACATCAGCAATAACTGGGTACCTCAGTGGCCTATGCTGTAGGAGTTTGTAGGAGTGATGGTGGCAGCACAAGTTATTAGGGTCCTCAGTGGCAAGAGTTTATATCGTCCTCTTATTTTTTTATTTCCCACAATGGGGAGACTAAGCCAAGGAAATTTCCCTTGGTGCTGTGTCTGACTTGGTTCCTAAGCAGCTGCAGCATGCTGGGTTCCAGGGCACAGATGTTTACAGTGGCTATGAAGCAGGGGTTCCAGGTCAGTGTCTTGTGAACTTTTTGTGGCACCTGGGCTTTTACATACAAGTTCATTCTCTGTGGTCGGGTAGAATGTGGATTCCTCACAGAACCATGGTCTGTGACTGTGAGGCATCTTCTAGCGCTTGTGCCCAGGGAACAAGGTTGTAGCTATAACTCTGACCCTACGGGCAGGGCACAGCACAGGCCCGTCCCTGGGGAAGAGAAGGTTTTCTAGATGTTTGGGTCCAGGGAGCACGGTACAGCTGCACTGCATGAAACAGAACCAACAAGGTTCATTAGAAACTCAGGTCTCAGGGGATGAGGCACTGTGTAGCAGTGACTCTGGACCCTGGGATAGTTAGACTTGGCAGTATCCCAAACTCTGTGAAGCCAGATGCAGCAGGAGTACGAACTCCAACATGGTAGAGTATGGCTGTTGCTGGGGTTCCGGGGGGGCAGGGAGCATCACAGTAATGACTCCACTCTTTGGCAAAGAAAATGTCCAGCAGCTCAAATTTTAGGGGACTATTCCAACTTCAGGGAAGCAGAGTGTTAGAGTTTTATGGACTGTAAGGCAGGGTGTCTCAGCTCAGCCACTACATTTTTTCCCCTGGGACATAGAATGCTCTATCAGTGCAATCGTGGTGTACATAGCTGCTCCGCTTAGCCAACGCACTGATTCCCTGGAAGGCAATGTGTCATTTCAGCTCAGGCTGAGGGGATTGACAGCTCTGGGTGGCTAAGGCACTGTTTCCCCTGGATACAGAGCATCACCTCAGTGCTGACACGGGAACAGGGTGCAGCAGCAACTAGGAGGGATATATCAATCAGCTCCACCAAGGCACCATTTCCCTAGGAGGGAATGCACAGCTTTAGCTCAGGTTCCATGGTTCAGAGTGCAGCAGTGGCTTGGAGAGGGGTAGATAGGGTGGCTTCACCAAGGCACCATTTCCCCAGGAGGAATGTGTAACTTCAGCTTGGTCTCTGAGGAGGCAGGGCACAGCCATGACTGGCATGAGTAGGTGGCATGGCTTCAGGGGTGCTTGGCCGCATTTGGTAGGGTATAACAGCAGTTCACAGCCCAGCTCAGAGATACTGGACTACCAGACAAGCATGATTTAGTGGCTGCTAAGCCTCAGGGATGGGAGATTTCCATGGCTACTCAATCTGTAGCAAGACACATGCCAGCCATAGTTCCAGTTCCAAAATGGTATGGTGTAAAAGCTCTGCAGGCCACTGAGCGAGGGGCACAGTATTGGCTGTTTGTTTCTATGGGGGAAGCACAAATGTATGGACTCCAGACAGCTCCCTTAGCTGGACTTCATTCTCATGAGGATTGCTGAAGACCCCAGTGGTGAGAACTTTAGGTTCCAAAATGTTGATTGGGGCTGCTGGGATCCTATTGCTTACTTTTTCCCCACAGAGAGAAGTTCCTCCTGGTTTCAAGCTTATTCTGGTTTAGGGATGAATTAGTGAAGGCCAGGTATTTTCTTTTGTTCTCTATGTTTCTAGAGTTTTTGTGCTCTACATGGTTTCTGGTACTCCTTTGACATATTCCAGTACTCTCCTTTAGTTATTTTTATCCAAATATAGTTGTTAATTGTTTCTGCTGACTTTGTGGTAGTTACAAGAACTAAGGGCTTCTAGACAGCCATCTTACTGACATTATTCCTAAGATTTTTTTATTATTATGAAAGGATCTGGGATTTGAGCAAATATGTTCATTCATCTATTAAGATGATTATATAATTTTATTAAACTGGTAAATTTTTCATCACAAATTAACCTTGCTTTCCTGGGGTTATACTTATATAATCATGACATATTGTGGTTTTTATATATCATTCGAATAGAATTTCCAATGTTTCATTTAACATTATCACATCCCTGTTTATAAGAAATATAATTATTAGCCTTTCCTTTTACATTGATATTTAAAGTTATAAATTTATTTAAGGCAAGCTTTTATTTAGGGCTATAAATTTCCCTCTAACAACCTTAGTTCATCATTTTATAGTAGTATGTCTATACTCTCAGTTTAAAATAGTTTCAAAATTTTCATGTAATGTTTTTAAGCGTTTAATCAAGGTCTGCTAGTAATAAATTCTTTAAACTTTTTATGTTAAAAAAACATTATTTTATGCTCTTATATGAAATATATTTATTTATTTTCACTGGGAAGATAATTTTGGATTGGTGATTATTTTCTTTCAAAATTTAAAAGATGTTATTTCATTGTATTCTGGGTTCCATTATTCCTGTTGAGAAGTTAGCTGTAATATATCTTTTTTTTATTTTAAAGTAAAGTAATGTATCTATCTTTTTTTTTCTTCCAATGAATATCCCTTGTTGTGGGTTGAATTGTGTTCCCCTGAAATTATGCTGAATTGGAATGGGCCCCTATTCCCATATGACTGGTGTCCTTATAAAAAGTGGGGATTGGCCACAAATATGCACACAGGAAGAATGTCATGTAAAGGTAAATCCACATATCAGGGTGATGCACCCAAAGCCAAAGAGTATAGAAGATTCCCAAAACAAACAACAAAAGAACCCTGCTAGACTAGAATCTTGGATAGAAGAACCTTGGGATGTGTTTCTCTCTTATAGCTCACAGAAGGAGCCATGTGGACACATTGATCATGGAATTCTAGCTTCCAGAACTGTGTGAAAATATATTTTTATTTATTTTTGAATCTACCCAATTTGTGGTACTTTTTAATGGCAGTCCTAGCAAACTAATAGAAATATTATTTGAATATTTTTATCTTTCACTTTCAGTAGTCTTAATATGATGTATATAGGCGTAAATTTTTATGTATTTGTTGTATCTTTTGTTTGCAAAGCTTTTTGAAATATTTCATGAGTTCTGGATATGATGGCTTTCATAGTTTTGAAGCTATTCTGCAAATGCAGTTTTTATTCTTAGTGGCTTTCTGTTAGTGTATTAGCTGCCCAACTGCATAAGCTTTAGAATTTGAAAGAACTCTTCAAAGAAAAACTGGCTGAATTTTGAAACTCATCCGTTATTCAGTTTTATCTCATCAGCCTTAGAACACCACCATCTCTCCTAATTTCTCTGTTCTCTACCAGGAGGCTCCTACCTGGGAAAAGCCTAGATTTTTAGTCACATATTCTGCAGGCAGAACTGACAAATTAAATGGAGAAAAGTATCCTAGGGGAGGGTTAGCCTACCTCTCTATGGTTCTGTTCCTTTGAAAACCTTTTTTATCCAGTCTTCATGATTTCAGCATCACAATGATGTCTTTAGCCAGATGAATTATGTAAGCATATTTTTCCAACTTTATTGGTAGACATATTGGTCTGCCGTCCATCTTCTTTAAATTTTTTTTCTGATTATAACCATAATATATATATTTCATAAAATATTGAGTAAAAGAAATGCCATCAATGATCCCTTTTTCTATCAACCTTAGATAATGATAATCATTGTAATATTTTAGTGTGCTCCTTCCAGATCTATTTTTTGGAGGTGGCTTATCCAGCATACACCACACACACACACACACACAAATACTATAGTTCAAGCAACATTAAGGTATTGTGCTTGGCCAGGTCACGAGGTCAGGAGATCGAGACCATCCTGGCTAATACAGCGAAACCCCGTCTCTACTAAAAATACAAAAAAAAATTAGCCGGGCGTGGTGGTGGGCACCTGTAGTCCCAGCTACTCGGGAGGCTGAGGCAGGAGAATGGCATGAACCCAGGAGGCAGAGCTTGCTGTGAGCCGAGATTGCGCCACTGCACTCCAGCCTGGGCAACAGAGCAAGACTCCATCTCAAAAAAAAAAAAAACTATGCTTGTCCTATGAACCTTAAAATCTAGAACTAAATATACTTTAATGGATATGGGGACAGATTATAAATACCAAAAAGTCCCTGTGCAATAAAGTTACTTAACTCTGTTGAGTAAATAAACTCATGGAAAACAAAATGTTCACAATTAGGAGATGACTAGGTAGAGGAAGCATAGAAAAGTGGATACTGGAGAAACCAACTTCTGTATACCTAATTCTCTGATTTTTTGCCAAATATGCAAACTTTTAAAAAAATAATTTCCTCCATGGAATTGCCTATAGAGAGAGATTATGCTTTTAAATTAGTTCTCTTTGTAATTCATTATCTTGGTATTCTGTTTTTGTGTATGTATTTTCAAAAATTTGGTTTATGTGAATCTACATTAGAAAGTGATCTACTTTTCTGTGGTGATATCACTTTCTTTTGCCTTAGCAGTACTAAGGTAATATTTTGGGAATTTTTCAAAGTTGTGATTAGCTTTTCTCAAACAATCCAATCTCTCCATAAATGCCTTTCTATCCAAACAGCTATATTCAATTAGTAGATAGATTTCTAATTTACATAATCAATATTATTTTGTATATATATTTTTAATCTGCTATTTTCAGTTGCTCATGAAAGATCATTTTTTTCAACTCATTAAATGTATCTAGAATGAATGTATTATGAGAGTGGAGATTTTCTGTCTTGTTTATTGCCATATTCCATTACTAGAGCAGAAAGAAGCTCATGCATGGTAGATACCCAATAAATATTGGAGAACTAACTTAATAAATGAACTCATATTTTTCTAACCAATTGGGAGTGGTGAGTAGCATATTCCATGTAGGAGCAATAACTCATTTTACCAATTCTCTATTATTGGCCATTAGTAACACCCAATTTTTTACTTTTATCAACAAAGCAATGATAAATGAATTTGAGGATATATCATTGGACACATTTATTTAGTTCAAATTTCTAGATTAGTTGTCTATATGTGTTAGATTTTTGGAATTGTCAAATTTCTAAAGCAAACTTTAAATGTCTATTTATATACCAAAATATTGAGTCTAAATAGGCAATGAAAATCAAAATTTTTATCAAATAAACATATACACAAAGAAGAAAAGAAAATAATGCTGTGGTACTTTCACACCCATATAATGAAACCTGACCCAACTAAAATATTATGCAGCCTGAGTTCAGGGCTGGTAAGGTGACTGAGCTCTAGGCTACCCTTTTATAGAGGCTGCCTTTTCATAAGATGTTAACCACCAATCAGAGATGACATTGATGGAATGGCTTAAGAAGTTGAACATGACAGTTTTGTCAGGTAAACTTCCCAGTGACAAACAGAAAGCTGGACATAGCCTCAGCTCTGGAGGATACCTCACAGATATAATATTTTGCCAAGACAGCTTTCTAAACAGTCTAATCTTCTCAACCTGGTTTTCCCTGTCTTTGTCTATCTGAATATTCATTGACAGTGTGCTAATGCAGAAAGTAAAGACAGCTTTTCACTCTACACCTACATTGAAGATCATTTGGTAGTGCTATCCTTTGTCGATTTGTTAGACCATCTCAGCTTTCTTTGAGAAAAGTGTCTGTTTATAAGGATGTACTGCCTTAAGGAAGCCAGTCCTTAGCTTTGGCTGGCTTCCTGTGTAAGCATTACCATGATGGGCATTAGTATTCTCCACTTCTTATTTACTGTCTCAAGGTTCTTAGAAATGTATGCAGTTTAGTGAACTATAGCATGAAATTTTAGAGTAGGTTCATGATAGATAGATAGATAGATACACAGATAGATACATAGATTGATAGCTAGATCATAGATTTATGGTATATATGAGTTTAACTCCCAGGTCTTTCCAAATGCTATGGTGATTCGTATTATCCTAGTTATCTCTTTTGTTCAAAATGTAATGCTCTCCACTTAGTTGTTACATGGAACAGCTTTTCCCATAAACTTAGTGGTGTCAAATTTCCCTCGTTATATAAAGATGACATTTTAAAATTCTCTGACTGATTCTTTGTGATACACCTGAATAAATTTGAGCTTAAAAGTCACACCATATGCTAGCAGGGCTGGACACCTAGGTGTCCATTTACATTTATGGCATTCTTCCAATTGCAACCAGCTACCAATTAGTGGCATTTTGAACAAACTGGAAGCATTCATAAGTCTAGATTCTAGACTTACTCTGGCCTATGATGGCAATTCCAGATTTGAAGCTTTTTCCCTTGTTCTGCCTTCCCCAGTGTCTTCATTCATTGACTCAAGAAATGAATAGTAAGATGCTATTGTCTAGTAGAAACAATACAAGACTTTATTTTGTAGCTTTTGTTCATTTTTCACTCATTTGATAAATATTAAATATCTACAATTTTTCAGCCACTGCGTTCTGCTGATAAAGAACAGACACCTCTTATAGGTGTCTATATAAGGAACTATATTCCTTCCTCTTATAGTTCTTGAATGGGGACAACAAATGTGTAACTTCGGTGTGTGAGAACTGCTATGAAAGAAGTTCAAGTAATGGTATGAAAAATTAGATTATGACTTCTTTATATAGGATGGTCAGGAAAGGCCTCTCAGAGGAGGTAGCATTTGAGCTAAGACCCATATGATAAAATGAGACAGCCATGTGAATACCTGGAAGATGAGTATTTCAAATAGGAGGCACAAAGGCCTCCAGGTGAAAAGTATTCAGCCTGGCCTGTGTAAGGGGTAGAAATAAGGCCAGTGTGACTGGAGAACACAGAATAAAGATGAAATACAGGGAAATCAGGTGGGTGGTCTTATGTAGGGCAGGTGAGATGCAATGGAGGGTGTGGAGTAGGGCAGGAGAAGTGAAATTAGAGAAGACTGTTTTGAAGGTAGAACTAACCATATTTGCCAATAAATTGGATATGTCAAAAAGGTGGGCAAAAGAGGCCTTAGGAGTAAGACTCATGTTTTTAGACTCAGCAATAGAGAGAATTGTACCATTTAACTAAAATCAGGTGGAATGGTTTTGAATGAGAAAAGAAGAAAAGCCGGAATTAAATGATTAAGAATAATATATTTAGGGTTTGAAGCATATAAAGTTTAGAATATCTAATAAACATCTAAATATGATATGTATATAAGCATAACTCAGAGATATTGCAAGTTGGATTCTAGACTACTGCAATAAAGAGAATATCACAATAAAGTGAGTTACACAATTCTGTTATTCCCCAGTGCATATAAAAGTTATGTTTAAACTATACTGTAGTCTATGAAGCATGCAATAACATTATGTCTCAAAAATGCACATACCTTAATTTGAAGATATTTAGTTGTTAAAAAATGCTAACAATCATCTGAGCTTTCAGTGAGTCACCGTCTTTCTTTTTGCTGGTGGAGTGCCTTGCCTTGATGTTGATGGCTGCTGACTGATCAGGGTTGTGGTTGTTGAAGATTTGGGTGGCTGTGGCAATTTCTTAAAATAAGACAACAATAAAGTCGCCACAATGAAAGATTTCTCTGTAACCTGAAATACTGTTGGATAGCATTTGACCCATGGTAGAACTTTTTTTCAAAAATGGAGTCAATCCTCTCAAACCCTGATACAGCTTTATCAGCTAAGTTTATTTGATATTTAAATCCGTTTTTGCATTTCAACAATGTTCACAGCATCTTTACCAGGAGTAGAATCCATCTCAAGAAACCATTTCTTTTGCTCATCCATAAGAAGCAACTCCACATATGTTCAAATTTGATCATGAGTTTGCCGCAATTGTCACATCTTTAGACTCCACTTCTAATTTTAATTCTGCTATTTCCACCACCTCTATGGTTGTTTTCGTCACTGTAATTGTATTAGGGTACCCTAGAGGGACAGAACTAATAGGATAGATGTATATATAAAGGGGAGTTTATTCAGGAGTATTGACTCATATTATCACAAGATGAAGTCCCACAATAGGCTGTCTGCAAGCTGAGGAGCAAGGAAGCCAGTCAAAGTCCCCAAACCTCAAAAGTAGGGAAGCCAGCAGTGCAGCCTTCAGTCTGTGGCCAAAGGTCCAAGAGTCCCAGAGTTGAAGAACTTGGAGTCTGATGTTCGAGGGCAGGAAGCATCCAGCACGGGAGAAAGGAGGAGGCTGGAAGACTAAGCCAGTCTTGTCTTTCCATGTTCCTCTGCCTGCTTTTATCCTAGCTGCGCTGGCAGCTGATTAGATGGTGCCCACCCAGATTGAGGGGGGTCTGCCTTTTCCAGTCCACTAACTCGAATATTAATCTCCATTGGCAGCACCTTCATAGACACACTCAGGAACAGTACTTTGCATCCTTCAATCCAATCAAAGTTGACACTCAATATTAACCATCACAGTAGTCTTGAACTCCTCAAAGTTATCCGTAAAGGCTGGAATCAACTTCTTCCAAACTATTGATGTTGATGTTTTGACCTCCTCCCATAAATCATGAATGTTCTTAATGACATCAAGAATGGTGAATCCTTTTAGAATGGTTTCAATTTACCTTGCTCATATCCATTATAAGAATCACTATCTTTGGCAGCTACAGTCTTACAAAATGTATTTCTTAAATTAGAAGATTTGAAAGTCAAAATTGCTCCTTGATTCATGGGCTCTGGAATGGATATTGTGTTAAAAGACATGAAACCAACATTAATCTCCTTGTACATCTCCACCAGAGCTTTTGGATAACTAGGTGCATTGTCAATGGGCAATAACATTTTGAAATACATTTTTTTTTAGGAACAGTAGTTCCTAAAATATGCTTAAAATATTCAGCAAACCATGCTGTAAAAACATGTGCTGTCATTTAGGCTTTGTTAAACTATATTTAGAGCATAGGCAAAGTAGATTTAGCATAATTCTCAAGGGCCCTAGAACTTTTGGAATGGTCAATGAGCATTGGCTTCTAGTTACATTCATTGGCTGCATTATCCCCTAAGATGGTCAGCCTGTCCTTTGAAACTTTGAAGCCAAGCATTGACTTCTTTCCAGCTATGAAAGTCCAAGATGAAATCTTCTTCCAATAAAAAACCTTTTCATCCACATTGAACATATGTTGTTTGTTTAGTGTAGCCACCTTCATCAATTATCTTAGCTATATCCTTTGGATAACTTGCTGCAGTTTCTACATTAGCACTTGCCGCTTCACCTTGCACTGTTATGATATAGGAACAACTTATTTCCTTAAGCTTCATGGACCAACCGCTGCTGGATTGCAACTTTTCTTCTGCAGCTTCTTTACCTCTCTCAGTCTTCATAGAACTGAAGAGAGTCAGGGCCTTGCTCTGGATTAGGCTTTGGCTTCATCCTCTATCCAGACCATGAAAACTTTCTCCATATCAGCAATTAAATTGTTTTACTTTTTTTTTTAATCATTCATGTGCTCACTAGAGTAGCACTTTTAATTTCCTTTAATAACGATTCTTTTTTTTGCATTCACAGCTTGACTATTTGGTACTAGAGACCTAGCTTTTGGCCTATTGCAGTTTTCATATGTCTTTCTTACTAAGCCTAATCATTTCTAGATTTCGATTGAAAGGGAGAGACATGTGACTCTTCCTTTCATTTAAACACTTAAAGGCCATTGTGGGATTATTAATAGGCCTAATTTAAATATCGTTATGCCTCAGGGAATAGGGAAGCCCCAGCAGAGGGGGAGAGATGGGGGAAAAACTGGTCAGTTGAGCAGTCAGAACACGTACAATGTGTATCTGAGTTTGCCATCTTCTATAGACAGAGTATGTGACACCCCAAAACAATTACAATAGTTACATCAAAGATCACTAATCACAGCTCACCATATCAGATATGATAATGAAAATGTTTTAAATATTGTGGGAATTACTAAATGTGACACAGAGACACCGAGTGCGCACATGCTGTTGGAAAATGATACCAATAGATTTGCTCGATATAAAGTTGCCACAAAACTTTAATTTGTAAAAAAAAAAAAAAGAAAAATGCAATATCTGTGCAATTCAATAAAGCAAAGCACGAGAAAATGAAATATGCCTATAGTAGTATATGTGTGTGTGTTTGAAGTGGCAAATTATACTTAAAGGCAATATTTTTAGTGTCCCAAAATTGATTTAAGCAAAAGTATTAATTTCTTTGCAGTATTTTTTGAATAAATGTTTAGCATCTTAATGCAAATATTTTTGAGGTAACATATTGCTTTAATACAATTTCAAGCATAGGAAAAGTTGTGAGATTACTATAGAGAGCATCCATATACCCTTTTCCCAGATTCACAAATGTTTACATATTGCCTCATTTACTTTATCATTCATTTCCTTTCCATCTACACACACATACACACACACACACACACACTTACTTATACATTTTTACTAAACTGTTGTAAATTTCAGACATCATACCTTTTTCCCCTTAACACCCCAGTGTATTCCTCAGACCAATAAGATTATCTTATATAAACACAGAACACTGATTAAAATCAGGAAATTAAAATTGATATAATGCTATCTTATAATTCACAGTCATACTAAGTTTTTTTCAATTGTCTTCAAATTATTTAATAGTTATTTTTCCTCCAGGTTCAGGATTCAGTCCAGGATCACACACTGCAATTGATTGTCATGTCACCTTTGTCTCATTTGTTTGGACTTGTTTCTCAACCTTTCTTCGTGGTTCTTAATCTTGACATTTTTTACAGAATACAGGGAATAGTTTGTAGAATGAAACTCAGCTTGAGTTTAATTTTTCCTCATGATTAGTTGCAGGTTATGTAACGTCAGCAAGAATAGCACAGAAACAATGTGTCCTTCTCAGTGTATCATATCAGGGATGACATTCATTTGTTCTTTTATTGGTGATTTAAATTTTCGCCACCTGGTTAAGGGGGTGTCTAATAGATTTCCCCATCATAAAGTTACTCTATATTCCCTTAGTAATTAACTAATTTGTAAGAAAATATTTTGACACACTCTAAATAGCCTGTTTCCCATTAAACGTTTACCCACTAAGTGTAATATCCATTGATGTTTCTTGTCTGGTATTTCTTACATTACTATTATGGTTACAAAATTATTTTTCTACCTTGTAACATTTATGAGTTAGCATTCTCCTAAAAGAGCTTTTTACTTTTTAATTAATTTCAATTTCATTTTTTAATTTGGATGGCCTATAGGCATGCTCTCATAATATTTTTAATTCACTAGTATATAAGATAAAAAACAGGACTTATTCCTAAGATTAAAAAACCTTTTATTTTGTATTTTTAAGATCAAACTCGGTGCTATATGTCTTTGAAGTTTTGTGAGACTTTTGACATTGAGAGACATCAATCTGTTGATTGATCAAAGAATAAAACTCAGTTCAAATAAGAGTTTGTCCACATAGTCTAAAGATAGTTTTACCTTGCCTACCATCAGGAGACAAGAGTTGCTACTGATACAGTTGAAAATAGTAGAAAGTTGATATTTCCAAGGTAATAGCATAAAATGTAATCTCTAATATTTATATTTGCTACAGGGAAATATGTAAACAAAATAACAAGGCTGGTAAAGAAATGTGCATAGCTCAGTTCTGAAGATGCCATCAAATGGTCTTATCTCCTGAAAGATGCCTGAAGGTTATCCCCCCAAATTAATTTTTGTTACCCTAATAAAGACATTAATTTTTGTTTGATATACTACATAAAGCTGAAAGTAAGAAGAAAAAAATAACTCAGTAGAATACCACTATAATGTTGGATATTAAGTGCAACTTAGCACCAATTAGTTTAGCAAATATTTATGTGGAGTATTTTATATGCAACGGCATCCAACCAAGCAAAAACAATAAACTCATTATTTCATCCCCTGAGCATTTCAACTCCCTTAACTGCTCCAAACACATAGAGGGAATATAAAAATATTTTTTAAGCTTAAAAATATATAGTCTTAAAAACTAATAAAAGTACATCCATATATAAACACCATAAAATAAATGGAAATTAATGAATGGATTTCAACTGAGTGGTTAAAAGCAGGTAGAGACTTCCATGAGATTAGTTGCTAGGAGAGGTATCAGGGAATAAATGCACCCTAGATTATAGCTAGGCTTAGTGCCGTAGTTTCAGCCAGCACCCATCTCTCCTGCAGAGGGGCCTTAGCTACTAGACAGCTACTATTCATGCTGCCAGGGCCTATGCCTTGTGTCAGGCTGCACTCCTGGAAAATTCAGAGAACACAGATAGAAATCCCTAAACTAGTAACTGAGTTAAGCCCCCTGCCAGATTGTTAATTAGCAGTATCCTCATAGAAATAAAGATCAGGAGCTCCTCAAAGCCAACATATGATCTTGTTTTGTACTAGAGCACTGGAGACAACCTGAAAAAAAAACAAAAAAAAGATGACAAAACAAAGACAAAGAGAAAATTGCGCAAAGGAAGAAGGAGGACAACAAGTGAGGGGTAGAGAAGAGAGGGAAGAAACAAAAATATCAACTTAAAATTAGCCTGCAGCCAAAATTTCCAAAATTGAATACCACAGTTTTGGTATTCAATTTTTGTTCATGTAGTTAATGAACAAAATTAACAGTTGAAAGATTAATTTGAGATGAAATAAAAGTAACAAAAGTAAAGCACTTAAATGTGCATAGGATCTTAAATATATAATTGATGAAAAAACTTTTTAATTAAATACATTATAAGTATTGGTGGAAAAACACAATTTCTATCCTTAAGGGGTTTATGATAAAGATACTATATTACATTACATATACATGAATATACATCATATATTATTATCTATGATATTTGTAGGCATGTTTATTAAAAGTTGGAATAATTCCTTCTAATATATACCAACATTTCCATCAGAAAATCTTATTTGCATTCCATTTTATCTTATAGCACCTACATTCTTTCTTAGGTGACTTCCTTCTCTTAGCATAATGCATCTGAGATTCATCCAATATGTTTTTGTACATATTGGTAATAATGCAATTAGTGTAAATTCCTTTATATTGCAGATTTAATTATATAGATATACTAGGTTTTTATTCATACATCAATTCAAGGACATTTGATTTCCAGTTTTTTTTGATGACCATATATATCACTATAAACATTTATGTAAAAGTTTTTGAACAAACAGATTTTTATTTCACCTGGCTAAATACCGAGGCGTGAAATTCTAGATTATATGGTAAGTATGTGTATAAAAAATAACCAAACTGTTTTCTAAAGTTGCTGTAACATTTGCTTTCCCATCATAAACATAAGAGAGTTCTAGTTTTCAGCACTTGGTATTGTCAGTATTTTGGTTGTTTGTTAACTGTAGCCATTCTTATAGGTTTGCAGTGGTATCTCATTGTGGTTTTAAATCTTTACTGAATGACTAATTATGTAGAACAAATTCTCTTGTACTCAGCATCCATACATCTTTATTCAGGTATCTTCTTTTGTGAAATCATTTGTTCACTTTTATCTAGCTTTTTATTAAGTTAATGTGATTTAATAGGTGTTTTTTCTTGCATAGTGAATATAAATCCTTTGTCAGAGATTTGTTTTGTAAATATTCTTATCTGTGGTATGTCTTTATAGTCTCTTAGCATTATATTTCACAGAGGAAAAGTTTTTATTCTTGATGAAGTCCAATTTATTAATTTTTAAAAATGTAATAAGTCATGCTTTTCGTATAGTAACTAAGAAATCTTGCCTAACCCAAAAAGAATTTTATTCCATTTCCTTGTAGAAGTTTTATAATTTTGGGGTTTTATTTAAGTCTATGATCTAGTTTTAGTTACTTTTTTAATCTCATGGAAGGTATGTGTCAAAGTTCCTCTTTTTTTCTTTACATATGGGAGTCCAATTGTCCCAGCACCATTTGTTTTAAGAGATCATTCTTTATCCATTGTAATTGCATTTGAACCTTGTCAAAATGCAGTTGACTGTGTATGTGCAGGTATGTTTCTCAAATCTTTTTCTGTTCCATTGATCTAATTGTCTGTCTTGAGGTCAATACCACACTCTCTGACTTTTTGTAGCTCTTTAGGCTTGAAACCAGATAGTATTTTTATTTTTTAAGATTGCTTTTGTTATTCTAGTTATTTTGCTTCTCCAAGCAAGTTCTATAATCAGTTTATCTATTACTATATAAAATCCTTCAAGATTTTGATTGTGATTATTGCATCTCTATATTAGTTTAAAAAGTATTGACATCTTCACAATATTTACTCCTTCAATTCATGAACACTGTACACCTCTTTTATTTAGATCTGTTTTGATTTCTTTTATCAATTTTTTTACTTTGTTGCATATAGATTCTTCATATTTTTCAGATTTATATGTAACATATTTTATGTTTTTGTTGTTGTATATCTTTTTATTGTAATTTCTAATTATTAAATGCTAGTGTATAGAATTACAATTGGTTTTTGTATACTGGCCTTTTATCACTAAACCTTGCTAAACTCACTAGTTCTAATGTACCTAACTAACCTCATTTTGTAGATTATTCTTCTGTAGATTCTTCTTTTATGGATTTCAAATGATTTTTAAAAGATAAACCTATGAACTTCAAATAAAGACAATTTTTATTAATGTTAAATAGAAGTGCTGAGAGCAAACATCCTTGCACTGTTCCTGATCTTAGAGGCAAAGCATTCTGCTTTCATCATTATGTAGAATGGAAGCTGTAGATTTTCATAGATCCCTTTTATCAGGTTGAGGAAGTTTTCTTCTATTCTTCATTTTCAAAGAGTTTTTATTATGAATGAATATTGAATTTTATTAAAAGCTTGTTTTTCATCTGTTGAAAGAGACCTATAACGGTTTTTCTTTTTTAGTGATGTGGTTAATTATGATTGATTTTTTCAATGTTGAAAGAGCCTTGCAGTCTTGGGATGAACCCCACTTGCTCATAATTTGTTATCCTTTTTGTGTTAATATATTAGTAGATTCGATTTGCTCTCATTTTGTTTAAAAGTTTATATCTACATGGGCCGGGTGCGGTGGCTTATGCCTGTAATCCCAGCATTTTGGGAGGCTGAGGCGGGTGGATAACGAGGTCAGGAGATTGAGACCATCCTGGCTAACACGGTGAAACCCTGTCTTTATTAAAAATACAAAAAAATTAGCCGGGCGTGGTGGCGGGCGCCTGTAGTCCCAGCTACTCGGGAGGCTGAGGCAGGAGAATGGCTTGAACGCAAGAGGTGGAGCTTGCAGTGAGCCGAGATTGCGCCACTGCACTCCAGCCTGGGCAACACAGCAAGACTCCATCTCAAAAAAAAAAAAAAAGTTTATATCTACTTTCATGAGAAATATTGTTCACTAGGTTTTTCCTGTAACATCCTTTTTTGTTTGTTTTAATATCAGGGCAGCACTGGCCTCATGAGATGAATTGCGAAATGTTACTTTCATGGAGATTTTGTAAAATTGGCATTATATCTTTCTTAAAAGTGTGGAAGAATTAATTGTTATATTCATTGTGCTTGGCATTTTTTTTCTTGGAAGGATTTAACTATGAATTGAGTTCCTTTAACATATATCAAAGTAATCATGCTATCCATTTCTTCTTGAGTAAACTTTGGTAGTTTATAGTTTATACCTTTCAAGGAATTTGCCCATTGCATCTAATTGTTTGTAATATTTTATTATGATGATTTTCATGTCTAAGTTCTGTCTTTCATTTTAATATTGATAATTTGTATTGTCTCCCTGTTTTTGGTTGGTAGGTCTGGCTAGAGGTTTATCTTTTTTTTTTTTAATCTTTACGAAGAACAAGGATTTGGTTTTCAATTACTCTATTGTTTTTTTCACTTTCATTGATTAATGCACCTCTTATCTATTATACCTCCCTTTCCTTCTAAGGGTTTAATTTGCTTTTCTTTACCAGTTTCTTAAAGTGGAGGCTTAGTTCACTGATTCAAGAGGTTTTTTTTCTAATATAAACATTTAATGTTACACACCTTCCTTTATACATTTTCCTCTAAGTATTGCTTTAACTGCATCTCCCAAATTTTGTCAGTGCTTTCATTTTCTTTTAATTTAAAATATTTTCTAATTTTTCATGTGATTTCCTGTGATTTCCTCTTTGACTCATAGGTTATTTAGAAGTGTTTTGTTTACTTCCAAATATTTAGTCATTTTCCATATATCTTTCTGTTACTTTTTTTTTTCCTTAGAGACAGAGTCTTGCTATGTTGCCCAGGCTGGAGTGCAGTGGCTATTCACAGGTGCAATTATAGTGCACTATTGCCCAGAACTCCTAGGCTCCAAAATTCCTCCTGCCTCAGCCTCATCAGTAGCCTGGGAGATGCCACTGTCCCTGACTTACTTTTCTTTAGTTTAATATTTTTTTATGGTCTTATAATTCACTTGGTGTGATTTTTTTATTTGTTTAAATTTGTTATGATTTGATTTATGGCCAGAAAATTGTCTAACTTGGTGGATATTTTATGTGTACTTGAAAATAGTTTGTATTCTGCTGTTGTTAGAATATTCTATACATGTTAATTACATAAAGTTGGTGGATAGTATTGATTCAGGCTTCTATATCCTTATTGATTTTCTGTCTGTTATATTAATTGCCAAGAGAGGATTGTTGAACTACCCAAGTATAATTACAGATTTGTCTATTTCTTTATTCAGTTACATTATTTTTTGCTTTATGTATTATCAAAAAGAGTTTTTAGGTTCACACACACTTAGAATGTTTTTCTTTTCTTAGTGAATTGATTTTTTTTATTAATCACATTGTAATGTTCTTTTTTAGCCCTGGTAATATTCCTTGTCTATATCACACTGCCTGTGGTGCTGATGTCTTATAACATTGGTCTTTTTTTTTTTTTGCTCCTGGAATTAAAACTGAACCTTAGTTTTTAATAAGTGAAATAGTAAAAGAACTCAGCAGACTGACTAAGATGACAACTCAGATGAGGTAACCAAGGTTTATACCAAAGTAGTCTGCAGCATAGTCAGGGCTAAAATTCGTACACTGGGTAATCTCTGGTTCCACCCAAACTAAAATACATCTGCTGATAAATTTGCTCTGAATAAGCACCGTACTATCAAGTTTTAAAGGTATACGTGGCTCACGCCTGTAATCCCAGCACTTTGCATGGCAGAGGCAGGCGGATCATGAGGTCCAGGAGATCAAGACCATCCTGGCCAATGTGGTGAAACTCCATCTCTACTAAAAATACAAAAATTAGCTGGACGTGGTGGAGCATGCCTGTAATCCCAGCTACTTAGGAGGCTGAGGTGAGAAAATCACTTGAACCAGGGAGTCAGAGGTTGCAGTGAGCCAAGATTGCACCACTGCACTCCAGCCTGGCGATGGAGTGAGACTCCATCTCAAAAAAATAAAATAAAATAAAATTTAAAAAAGTATGCGGTAGAAATTTAAAGTCAGATATCTTGTATCTGAGGTTCTCAGAATGGAGAATTCACTTCTCTTTGGTAACAGATTACAGGGAACGAGTAATTGTGCTGCAGCAAATTGGGCCAAAAATAAGTTATAAAGTCATTTTCTTTCTAAGATAAACATTCTCTTTCTAAGATGAAACTGTTAACAAGGAATAGCAATTATCTTCCTGGTATCACTGTCACTGTTATAACAATGTAACTCTCAGATAAAGCTACTAATAGCTCCAGTTTTTGGTGCAGTTGCTTCATGAATTAGCTATGATTTCTTAGTTTTCCAGGTACTTCAATCAGAAGCGTTCTGTTAAGCACCTCACACATTGTAAGGAGTACGTGCACACATTAATGCACAGTACTTTTACATTGTAATAGGAACTAAACCCTACCTTTCATTACTTATGTAAGAGGAATCATGAATGACAAACACGTTTGGCATAAAGTCATTAGTAGTCTGCCCTTTTATTTGTTCTTCCAATAATGTCTTTACTTCTAAACTCACTAATGTGGATAATAAAAACACTAGGCTATACATTAAGAAATTATTTTGTTGAAATATCCTTTATCCCTGACTCTTCTATTTCTTCTCATTCATATTGCTATAGGAATACTGAAATTTTTATGGCTGTCTTTTTTTAGACACATTTTAAGAATCTGCTCAGAGATAATTTGATGAAATCTATTTTTGGTCTCAGCAGGAGAATCCTAATTTGCATCTCCTCATGGGTCATCATTGCCTAAATTGATCTACACTGACCTGGTTCATTTTAAATCAATTCAGGGTTTTTCTTTGTGCACACAGAACAAACGACCTGTTCTTCACATGCTACAAAATCAATCCCAAAGAAATTTAAATGATCTGGATGGATTCTTCAAATAAAATTGTACTGTGTTTTTCTGATCAAAATTGAGAGGAGTATTGAGGTAAAACTAAAACACTGAAACGGATTAACCAACCAGGTAGACAAAAATCGTATCAGTTGTCTGTATACAAAATACATTTTACCCACCCAATATATAATTATTATTTTATTATCTGTTTACTATAAAATCAATTTATATAACATTTTGTATTTATTTTATGGACATGGAATATTTTTGGGGCAAGATGAACAATTGTTACTCTACTACAGTTGTAAAGATTGCATCTTTTAAAGTCAAGATTCTGTAGCCAGCTTTACTTTAGAAGTAAGATGGGAAAAACATTCTAAACTGAATAAGGGTCTATGGTGGTTTTCTTTGCTAGAATATGTTGAGCTATTTAGCTAGTCAACAAAAATAGTAGCTGAAACTTCTCTCAATATCTTAGCACTTGTTTTTAAACAGATTTTCTGTTAAATAAATTGGTGAACTATAAGAAAATAGTTATATTTCTTCTTGTATTTAAAAAAGATATCATACTTAAAATATATTAAATTTATTGAGCTTGTGAAATACCAAATGTATAATAAGTGATGTTCATAACTACCTATGATACTAATAAATAATAAATGCTACAAGAAAAGTAAAGGGCTATAAGAGTTTTTAGAGAGAAAGAAAGCTTCTTGCTGGAAGAAATTAGTAAATGTTTAATTGATAGCAAGGCACCTAAGTTAAACTTTAAGGGGAAAATAGGTTTTGAACATGAAAACATTAAAAAATCATTCTATTAATAGGAATAGTATAAACAAAATCATTAAAGCAAAAGATTGTGGAAATGTTATAAAAACAATGACTAGAAGATTAAGGCATTAAATGTAAAAGTTGAAGTGAAATAGGAAGACTCACAGGACAATGATGACTCTTGCAAACCAACCTAAGACTTTGAGCTTTTCTTTTTTAAGCAAAGAGATGCCATCAAAGTTTTAGAGCTGTTGAAATATTTCCTAGAATAACAGGATTCATTAAAAACAGCAACATCTAAAAGGCATATTTTCAGGGAGTATTTAGTTTCAGGCATATATTCTAGGTTCTGGAGATAAAAGAAAATATTCTTGCTCTCAAGGAATTTGGGATTTAAAGAAAGAGATAGATGCACAAACAAAATATGAATTACATGCCAATTGCTTCTGTAACACAGTTGGATACAGGGTGCTGAGGAAACAGAGAAGATGATATATCAAGGTAATAGTAGCTCCAGAAACAAGTAAGTCCTAAACTAGCAGTGTCTTGATACAATAAGCATTTATTTTGTGTTCCATCACAGCCAAATGCGGTATTCCTTCTGAGATGACCTACCATGTGGTCATTTAGTCACCCAGGTTCTTTTCTTAGTGACCCAGGATCTTTCCTTGGAGGACCTAGAGGACAGTAGCTCCACTGTCCTCTTGGAAGGCCTAGAGTAGTTCCACTGTCCTCTTGGCCTTCGAAGTCTTTTCCCTGGGTGAGGTATACATGCCTAACTAACTTAACTCAGAAGTTTCACACTTAACTCTTTTGATGAGAACTAGTAGAACTAGAAAAGTTTCCCAGCTTTGTGTCCAGGAAAGACACAATAAAGATTCTGATTAACTCATTGCAATCTCTGCCCCAAGAACACATCTAACTGTGGAGTGGGGGTGGGTACATCCAGGAGTGCTGGAAAGCACTGGTACAGTTGTATGTGGCTGTTTACATCCAGCCTCTGTTCTGATTCATTAGAATCTGCCTGACACCTGTTTTGATTCATGTCCTTCAGTTGTTAAATATTTTGATTAATTTCCACAGTTTACCTGCATTCGTGCTAAACCTGCAACAGGGAGAGTGAATCCAGGGGCTCTATTTTGACATGAATTAACTCGCAATAGTTAATAAGATTGAAAAAAAATGGAGATTTGAAGATAATGAGATAATTTAGGAGGTTATATTTCAAAAGTACAGGTGAGAGAGATGAAACCTGGACAGTAGGTAGTAGAGATGAAAAGAAAAGAAAACAAACAAACAGGCAAAATCTGAAAAAACAGCTCCAGGCAGCTATTTGGATGTGAAAAGCAAGAGACGGAGAAGAGCTAAAAAATAATTGCATTAGTCCATTCTCACACTGTTATAAAGAACTACCTGAGACTGAGTATTTTATTCAGAGGATTAATTGACTCACAGTTCCACAGACTATACAGGAAGTATGGCTGTGAGGCCTCAGGAAACTTATGATTATGGTGGAAGTGTGAAGGGGCAGCAAGCACGTTTTCACATGGCAGCAGGAGACAGAGAGGAAAGAGGGAAGTGCCACACACTTTTAACCATCAGATTTCATGAGAACTCACTATCACAATAACAAGGGGGAAATATGCGACATGATCCAATCACCTCCCTCCACGTCCCTCACCCAACATTGGGAGTTACAATTTAACATGAGATCTGAGTGGGGACACAGAGCCAAGCTGTATCAATAATCATGATAAATAAATAAATGTCAGAGATGTTGAGCCTAGGTAATTCAGAGGTTCATAGTGCTTTTACCAAAATAGAGAAAAAGGAAAAAGAACAAATTTTAGAAGAAGCCATTAGATTCTAAGCTTTTGGAAGGCATGCATCTGCTTTGTAGCTCCACAATCTGATACAGAACCGAGTATACAGTAGGTGCTCCATAGTTATTAATTTAATTAATGACTAATGAAACCAAATTACTTCAGTTTTAGATACACTGAGTTTTTAGTGTCACTAAGACACTTGTGTAGAGATGTCCAGAAAGTAATTGTGAAGGTAGAATCAGGTTAAAGAAAGGTAGTAAATAAAGCCACATAATTACAAGAAAGAATATACTGGAAAAAAAAAAAGTCTCAGCAAATAGAGAAGGAATTCTTTTAAAGGGATGATTGGACAGCTGATACAGAAACTTTAAGAGCTAAAAAGCAACCATTTTATTTCAGAATTATGGTATATGTTTCTTTTATTCATAGATGGTTTTCTTTCATTCATTCACCTTTTTTTCTTTCCGAATCGTTATGGGTATGAATATGTAACAGCATGTACCATGAAAGTACACATTGTCTATAATCCATCTTAAGATCATTGTTAATTTGGCATATTTCCTTCATGTCATTCTAGGTGTGTATTTTAAAAAGTCAATGAAGAATGTATGATTTGTTAACAGATACCATTTTTCAATATAAAATTACCCTCTTTTAACTGTTTGATGATTTTGCCTTAAATTCCACTTTGTCTGAAAATAGAATTGCAACTCTTGATAGTTTAATTTTTGGAGTTTCCTAACAATCATTTTCATTTCCTTTTTTAATATCATTTTGTTTCAACAGTCTCATGTAAGCTACATAATATTACTTTGATTTGCTTTAATTTTACTTTAGTTTTTCCTTTGCCTTCTATGGACTTCATGACAGTTTTAGTCACACTTTATATGTCTTGTGTTCCATCTTTTTGTTTTGTATTATGTCTTGTTTTTACTGTGTATTTTCTCTACTTAAAAGAGTTTTTCTTATTTTGATGTACCCCAGTGATTTGGAGCTCATATATTCTGTTTTTAATTCTTATGATTATATTTACATTTCTCAAAGAAAACCCTTCTATGTCAAAAGTTTTCAAAAGTCAATAATAAAATATGTATTTTGCATCCCTTCCTCCTTTTGATACTTTCCTCATTCCATGTGAGAGGGGGAATGTACCACATTTTTACTTCTTTTTCACTTCATCTTCTCGTATTTTAAAACTATAATATATATGTTAAGACCCATATTAATATTATTAAATTATGTTAAGCATTTGTTATTTTCTCTTTAAGCAACATTCTGTTTTTATTCAATTTTGTAACCAAATTTAAAACAATCATTTAGACTGAAATTTATGTTTAATGTAATTGAGTGTTCACTGCTAGTCTTTGTAGAACTATTGGCTAGGTGTTAGTTTCTAGAACGACATAACAGATTGTTGCTCTTAAAGGGTTTAAGGTCTAATGGCTTTCTGCCACTACTATTACTCTTTGTTATTCTCATTCTCTTTTTTGGTTAAAAGTAGTATTAAACTTTGAGTTACCTCCATTCTTAATCTCTTAGTTTAAGTACTTATGCAAAGTATAAGGAGGGTAATTTATTCTAAGTTCTTGAAAATCTAAAATTTCTTGGGAGCAAAAATTAATTATTTCATGATTTTATACTGCAAGGGAGAGATCTAAGGCAGATTTTACTTCTCTTTATATACATAAACTAATATTTGCTCATTTTTCTGTCCCAATATTTGTAGAATATTGCTTTTGTTCTTATAGTTTATTTTTTCTTTAGTATTCAGTTTTTTGAACTGGTATAGTAAGTCATTTCAATATACATATTCAAGTCATTTTTCAGCTCTATAAGTTTTCTGTGGTATCTTTGAATACTTCTTCAATGACAATTTTTGAGGGTTTTAAATTCATAATTACTGGATTTAATAACATCTTTTTATTCAATTTTAATCTCCCCTCTCTTCGTTTTCACTTTACAATTTCCTCTGAGCTTTGGAGATTATCTTGAATTGGCAATCCATATCACTGATTTATGTTTTATAATGTGTTTTCTGTTTGTCTTTAACTGCTTTTACTATGATACTTTCACTTCTGCCATGCTTCTTCATTTCAAATCTTTTTTTCCTCTGACTTTTCTATTCTTGCGACTTTCAGCCCCTATTTTATAAATATTATAACATATATCCTTTTGTGTATACCAAGTAATTTTCTGTACCTTCTTTCCAGTTCCTGCAGCAAATAATTTTTAAAAGTTTATTTTCTTCTGGATATATGGAATGATGTATCATTCTTGCCTTGCAATAATTTAGAAGTTATTTGTAGGTTTTCTTCTACTTGCCGTGTATTGAAAAGATCTCTATATAGGACTGGCATTTGTCAACAGATAAGATTTACAAATTGTGCTCGTGTCCCTCTCTATACATTTGTGTACTAGTCGAAGCCCCTACTTAGATGTGCAGCTAGGTGGCACAGTGATAACCACAGTGCCTAACCTGATTCCTAGTCTCTGGTAGGCTTTTATGCAATGTGGCTGTGCAGGAATGTAAGGAGACGGGTTTCTATTCCCTCTTCCCCTCAGTAGAAATTCATTTGTTCTAAGAGGCAATATAATGTCTACCAATCAACTTTCTTTGATTTCCTTTTAAAATCATTTTGTGTGACCTGCAAAAGCTAATTATAAATATATATATATACACATATATATGTATGTGTATATATATATTTATTTATGCATATATATGTGTATATATGGCAAAATTAGTACCTATGTTCCTGGTGCCTGTCTCACTTTGGGAGCACAGTTACAGAGGGAGGTCTGCCTGCTTTCATATGAGCATTTTCACCTATTTTTATTTAAAGAGTACGAGGGTCCTCAATTCCATTTTAAACTCTAGCTTTACTGACTCAGGTTACTAAAGATCACCACATAGAACATATAGATTCTGGGTTATACCCAGAATTTTTTCAGGATCCTTAACCATATTTAAATGAATGAGAATGAGAGTGCTATTATAGGGATGCAGCAAACCCAACATAGCAGATTTCAAAAGAATGAATATTCTCCAGACTTTGTCCCTATCTATTATTAGCAATAAATAATTTCTAATGTACCTCACAATTATGGAAGTAAGCCAGCCTGTCAAGACTTCACAGTTAAGAACTTATGGAATAAAACAGTGGTGGGATATTAACATTTAGGGATTCTTAGTGGTTTAGACTGAAGCCTAAAGTCTTACACCATTATATCTTCTAACTAGCAACAGTGGAGTCACTCAGAGGCTGAAAACAGAGGAAAAAGAATGTGGTCTCTTATATACCCCTGTTTCCCCAACCCCAAATCTGTATAGTTGCTATGGCAAGCAATTGCTTCTCTGGTAAGGCAACTCTTCCAATCTTTCATAATCGCTGCCACCATTCTATTCCAGTAGGTCCAGAAATGGTCCAATATCTCTAAGTATTTCTTGTTTAATCTGCACAGCTGTCAGAATAATTTTGAAACAGAATTCTGATCATTTCATTTTACTACTTAAAAACCTTCAAAGACAGCAAGTATGTTGTACTGAATGAAGGTAAAGACTTCATATGGAACACTCAGATTCAGAGCCCCTACTCTGTGTCTCTGTCACTTCCACATTCACTCCTGCCCTACTCTCCTTAAAGGTCAGAGGCCAGTGACACATCCCAGGCAGGAGATTCTCTGATGTCTTTGTCCTGGACAAGAAAAAAGGCCTATAGATACTGACATTAGAGAGTTCTGCCAAGGAAATGGCTTCACCCCTATGGAAGGCAGCCTCTAAGATGGCCTCCGGTGATCCTAGCCTCTGATATCTCTGTTCCTGTGTAATCTCTTTCTTTGAATGTGACCTGGACTTAGTGATTCATTTCTAATGAATAGAATATGGCAGAAGTGATGAGATACCACTTCCAAAGCTAGGTTGCAAAAAGATTGTAATTTCTCTCTTAGGGACTTTAACTTTCTCATTCACTCACTCCTCTGAAATAAACCAATTGTCATGTTGAGCTGCTCTGATGAGAAGCTCAAATGGCAAAAAAAGTCATGTCTTTGATCGCCAGCCAGCAAAAACATGAGGCATGTCAATAATCATGTGAATTAGCTTGTAAGTGACTCTTCCCATAGTTGAACTTTGATGTGTCCGAAGCCTCTGACAACATCCTGACTTCAACCTTTGGAGAGACCCTGTGCCAGAGACCATGGCCCAAAAACCTGAAATGGTAAATGTTTTTTGTTTTAAGTTGTTAATTATGGGGTAATTTGTTATGCAGCAATATATAACTAATATAGTCACTACCCAGCCACTCCTGACGAAGGCCATTATTCAACATGCCCCAGAAACCCATAGACTCCAATTGACTTTGTATTATTTTGTTCTTAAACATAAATAACTGAGAAAAAGAGCATGAGGAAAATTTGGTGGGGTTGTGGGGAATGTGATGGTTATGTTCATTTCCTTGAATGTAATAATGGCTTCATAGGCATATATATGTCATAAATATTAAGTTATATATTTTAAACATATGTAATTTATTATGTGTTAATTAGAGCTCAACAAAGCTGTTAAAATATTAATAGAGAGATAAGACTCATCAAATATTTGAAAAACAAAAGACTCCAACATAATAGACAGGGATCCAAATGAATAAAATGTAGAAGGCAATCAGAAAATTTTGAAACAGTGCAGAAAAAGAAGAAAAAAATGTCCAAAAAAACTCTAAAATTATTATTTTCTAAGAAATAAATGAAAAATTTTTCAGCCATGGAAAATGAGGGCTATAGAAAAGAATAGTATATGAATAAGAAAGAAAGAGTTCCTAGACATTAAAAACACAATAGTGGAAGTTGAAAATTCAGCAGAAGGTTTAGAAGATAAAATTGAAGAAATTTCCCAGCAAGTAAAATAAAGACAAAGAGGAGGAAAATGGGAAAAAGAAGATAACAAAATGAGAGGTATAGTCCAGACATCTACATTAGAATTAAGGGAATTTCAGAAAAAATAAGAAGCAAAGAGGCTTACTTATCAATTAATTTATTTTCTAATTTGAAGAACTAAATACAAATTTACACATTTAAATGGTCCAAATTGTGCTCAAAAATAAATTTTAAAAGACCAACTATAAGGCACTTTGTATTAGTTATCCAATGCTATGTAACAAATGACCACAAAACGTGGCAACTAAAAACAACATTTAAGGGGTAGAGCAAGATGGCAGAATAGAAGCCTACACTGTTCACCATCCCCCACAGGAACACCAAAGTTAAACAACTGTCACGGAAAAGCATCATCACAAGAACCATAGTACTTGATTTTAAATTCCTGTCACTGAAAGAGGCATTAAAGAAGGCAGGAGAGACAGTCTTGAATTGCTGACAGCATCCCTTCCCAACCCCCCAGCTGTGGCTACATGGTACAGAGTCTGTGCACTTGGGGGAGGGAGAGCTCAGTGACTGGGGGACTTTAGGTTGAACTCGGTGCAGCCCTGTCACAGTGGAGAGCAAAGTCATACTCAGCCAGCGCCCACACAGGGAAGGAGAATTTGGATCAGCCCTAGCCAAAGGGAAATCACTCATCTCAGAGGTAAGAACAAACCTTGTCATCAGGGGCTGAAGTGCTCTAGGGTCCGAGGTAAACTTGAAAGGCAGTCTAGGACACAAGGACTACAATTCCTAGGTATCTCCTTGTTCTGGGCTAGGCTCAGAGCCAGTGAACTAGGGTGGCACATGACCTAAGGAGATACCAGCCAGGGCAGCGAAGGGAGTGCTTGCATCACCCCTTCCCCAACCCCAGGCAGCACATCTCTCAAACAAAAGCAATTCCTTCCTTCTATTTAAGAAGAAGAGAGCAATAAGTAAAGAGGAATTTGTCTAGCATCTTGCATACCAGCTCAGCCACAGTAGCACAGGGTACTGGGCAGAGTCATGAGACTCCCATTCGAGGCCCTAGCCCATGATGACATTTCTACACACATCCTTGGCCAAAAGTCACTCCACTGCCTTGAAAGGAAGGACCCAGTCCTGGCAGGATTAATCACCTGCTTACTAAAGAGCCATTGGGGCCTGAATAACCAGTAGTGATATCCAGGTAGTACGCCGTAGGCTGTTGGCTCTGAGATAAGTTGACTTCAGATGTGACCCAGAACACTCCCAGCTGTGGTGGCTATGCTGAAAGACTCCTTCTGTTTGAGAAAAGCAGAGGGAAAGGTGATGAGGACTTTGTTTTGCACCTTAGGTACCAGCTTGGCAACAGTGGTGTAGAGTAACAAACAGGCTCTTGGTGTCCCCAAGTCCAGACCTAGGCTATTGGACAGCATTTATGGGCTTGTCCTGGGCCAGAGGGGAGCCCAATACTGCACTGAGAGGTGAGTCCTAGGCGTGGGATAATTCACCACAAGCTGACTGAAAAGCCCTTGGTCTTTACATCAACATCAGTGGTGGCCTGGCAGAATTCCCCATGGGCCAGTGGTATTAGTGGCCACAAGGAGAGGCTCCTAAGCCTGTGGAAAGAGAGGGAAAGAACAGGAAGGATTTTGCATTGTAGTTTGAGTGCCAGCTTGGCCACAGTAGAATAGAACATCGGTAAACTTCTAAGGTTTTTTGCTGCAATCCCTGGCTTCCAGAGAGCATCTCTGGACCTTCCCAGGAGCGGGGGGAGCACAATGTCCTGAAGGGAAGGACACAAACCTGGCTGACATTACCACTTGCTGATCATAGAGCCCCACGGCCTTGAATGAACATAGGTGGTAGCCAGGCAGCGGTTACAGTATGCCTTGGGTGGGACCCAGTGCTGTGCTGACATCAGGTTGACCCAGCATAGTCCCAGTGGTGGTGAACACAAGGGTGCCTATATTACCACACCCCTGGTTCCAGGTGCCTTAGCACAGAGAGAGAGCCTCCATTTGTTGGGAAGAAAGTAAGGAGAAAAGACAAGAATCAGGCTGGTAATCCAGAGGTCATCTGGATTTTATCTAAGACAATCAAGGAGGTGCTTTTACAGGTCTAGAAAAATCACAGTGCTATTGGGCTTGGGATTCAAATCCCTTTGAATACCTGGAAAGCCTTCTCCAGAAGGATGACCACAAGAAAGCCCAGACTGTGAAGAATACAATAAATACCCAACTTTTCAATGCCCAGACACCAGTGAACATCTACAAGCATAAAGACCATCCAGGAAACTGTGACTTCAGCAAACAAACTAAATAAGTTACCAAGGACAAATTCTGAAGAAACAGAGGTATGTGACCTTTCAGACAGAGAACTAAAAATAGCTGTGCTGAGGAACTCAAAGAAATTCAAGATAACACAGAGAAGGAATTCAGAATTCTATCAGATAAGTTTAACAAAAAGATTGAAATTATTTTTTTAAATCAAGCAGAGATTCTGGAGTTGATCAATTCACATACTGAAGAATGCATCAGAGTCTCTTAATAGCAGAACTGATCAAGCAGAAGAAAGAATTAGTGAGCTTGAAAACAGACTATTTGAAAATCAGTGATGAGAGGATATGAAAGAAAAAAAGAATAAAAGGGAATGAGTATCTACCTACAAGATGTAGAAAATAACCTCGAAAGGGGAAATCTAAGAGTTATTGGCCTTAAAGAGAAAGTAGAAAAAGAGATAGGGGTAGAAAGTATATTCAAAGAGATATATCATAGAACTTCCCAAACCTAGAGAAGATATCAACATTCAAGTAAAAGAAGGTAATAGAGCACCAAGAGATTTAACCCAAAGAAGACTTCCTCAAGGCATTTAATAAACAAACTCCTGAAGGTCAAGGATAATGAAAGTGTCCTAAAAGCAGCAGGAGAGAAGAAGCCACATACATGGAGCTCCAATACCTCTGGCAACAGACTTTTCAGTGGAAACCTTACAGGCCAGGAGAGAGTGGCATGACATGTTTAAAGTGCTAAAGGAAAAAAAAAACTAATAATAACCTTTTACTCTAGAATAGTATATCTAGTGAAAATATCCTTCAAACATGGAGGAAAAATGAGGACCATCCCAGTAAAACTGGGGTGGTTATTTAGTTAGTTATAAATTTAGTTATTTGTAAACTGTTAGACTGAGAACCTTAGCACCTCTCTGGCTGTTAGCCAAAGTCCATCCTCATTCCATTGCTTGTAGGCTTCTCCAGTAAGGCAACTCAATTTATCACAGCATAAAAGCCAAGAATTAAGAGTTAGCTAGTAAGACAGAAGTCACAATTATAGAAACGCTATATCATCATCTTTGTCATAGTCTGTAGTCTTCTAACAATTAGGTTAGAAGCAAGTCCTTAGGCCAGCCCATACTCAGGGAAAAGGACTTACACAAGGGCATGAGTTCTAGGAGGCAGGGATTATTGGTGCCATCATGGAAATCTGTCTCCCCGCACTTCACTGTGAACATGGAAGAACTAGGAAAAAGGAAACTTGAAACTTCCTGAGACAGAGAACATTAGCAATCATATAACATTTCATGTGTTTCTTAACTTTTCCTGGAAGATTTCCTTGCAATTATGTTAGGGTAGTGCTTCTCAACCATGGGTAATTTTGTCTCTCAAGGGACCTTGTCAATAGAAATCTTCGATTATCATAGTAGGGGATGTTACTGACATCTAGTGGGCAGAGGCCAGAGCTATTGCTAAATGTCTCACAAGGTACAGGACAACCCCCACAGCAAAGCAGTATCTAAGCCCAAATATCAATATGGTCAAGATCCAGAAACCCTGGATCCAGAGACTTGCATTTTTTGGCAAGAACCATGAACAGAAGTGACATACCTGCGTCAAAGCAGTTAGGAGCCACTGAGTCTTCTCCACATCTTCCTTCCTCAGTCAAAATGACCTTGAAAGCCACATGTTGAGATGGCAGTATTAAAACATGGAAAGAGCCTAGATTCCTAGGTCATCAGATGGAGGCAAGCTTCTATTGAACTGCATCGGACATGTGAGCAAGAAGCAAACATATGCTTTGTTGAGATTTCAGCATTTGTCTGTTGAGAAAATTAGCAATAAATAAGTGGATGAAACTATACACGCCTGAAAATCAGGATGGCATTGGACTCAAAAGCAGCACCAGAGGCAAGAAGATAGTGCGTAGGTTGCCTCAATACACTGAGGAAAAGTAACATCCACTATAGAATTATAAATATGCCTAGTTCTTCAAATATATTTGGTTCATAGCATTTGGAAAATAGAAAACATTTCATACAAAAATTTTTTTCAGAATCTATTCTCTTCTTCAAATTGAGTAGTAAGAGTTGAGATAACAAATGATACTTGAATATATGTCTGCCCCCAATCTATCAAATATGAGGGTAGAATAAAGACATTTTCAAATATCTTTCCATATTTGAAATATCATTTCAAATATCAAAAGGTTTCAGATTGTGTACTGTCTATTCACCATGTCTTAAGAAGCTTCTTAAGAATATATGCCCCCAGATGAAGGGGATAAATCAAGGAAAAAGAACATAGTGGCGTACAGAAAGCAGTGATCCTAACAGAGAACAGAGGTGAGAACGGAGTATTTCCAGCAGAATGGCAACACAGCAGGCTTAGGGAGCAACCAGTTTCAATTGGTGTAAGAAGACACTTAAGCAACATATTAAAAATAGAAGTTACACTTGTTCTCCACCAACCTTATCTCTTAAAGGACACTTTGATACATCTACTCACTTAAGTCATATGCATCATTATTCCCACTAGCTTTATACTAACTCCTACTCATCTTTCCAGATTTATTTCTGAGGTATTCTGGAGCCAATCCTCTGCCTGGGGGCACATTATGTTTTCTCCTACTTTGTGAAACCATTTGCATAACAAAATTTTACTGTGTCATTTGGCATGTCTTTTACATCAGTCACATCACAGTCCTGTTGTGATAACCACACAGATTAATATCTGCTATGGCATTGATGAAAAGACGTTGATCCTAATTTATAGGTTAATATAGAGAATTTTAGATAAACTGCAGTAGACAATGATTCTGTAATGCTAGGGTGACAGCAGATCATTCTTGGCCCAGGACTATAAAATTCTGTGTCTGCGAATGGGGCAGGAATTGCTTCGGTGGAACATAGCCACTGGGTATTTTGACTCCGTGAATTGAAAAAGAATTAAAATGCAAAAAGTCTTGACTTTTTGAGTTTCTTAGTTGCTTTGCCAGTCTCTATACAATCTGAAAGCGACACCTGAAACTTTCCAACAGGAACTGTATATGGAAACCACCAGATCAAAAGACAGGCTGGCAAGGAAAAGCGAGACTGAAACTGTAGAAGCTAGTGTCTGAGACAGAGCCCCTTGGGATGGGATCACTAGGAATGGCAGAAGCCCAAGGACCCTGGAGCCTGCCCTTGACTGGCAGTTCTTCATGCCAAGCAGAAATGGGATAATTGCCCAGGCTGTAGATGTTGGAGGGGTGACATCAGAACAATATTTTAACTCTCAGTGAGCAGACTGCATCTCTAGAATGTTTTAAAATACAAGGAACTATAAAACGAGATTAATTAAATAGTTACAATATATTTTTAATGTGGGAGTAGGTAATGGCAAAAATAATAGTCAAGTTGAGAGCAAGTTCTTTACTAACTTCCCTTTAAAAAGTAGCCAAGGAAACTGTTTCAGTGTTAGATTTTTTTTAACTTTGTATAACTTTCTTGTAAATATTTGTGCTTTAAATCTTGTGCTTTATAGGCAGCTGTAATCTTGAGGCTTTGTGATTTGGGCAAGCTAATGAGGGTTAAAGACAGTAAATCTAATGTTTGAACTATAGTCAGGTATGACTTATTACTTGTACCAATCAGTCCTCCAAAACAGAAAATCAGAATTATTCAATTGAGATAAAAATATCTTATTTATGTGCCCAGAAAATTATCTATTTTTTAACCTCCTGCTTTAAGATGCATAAGAGAATACATCTGACCAGGTGGAGTTCTGAGTGTGAAAGTTATAGTTAAATGAGTCTCTAAGGATTTGAAAACTTTTAGTTTCCAGGATGATCCATGGTTTCTAAGAATACTGAAATGAAATGGAATTGGGAGAAATACTACCGAAGAATTAGATGGCTCTACTTCAGATCTAATTTTGTTAATGATAAACTGTCGTTTTTGAACTGAGTTGTAGGGGAGGAACTGACGACATATTCAGGGACTTTGAAAGCCTTGGAATAGTTCTGGTCCGTTTGAATTCTGACTTCTGGTCTTGGTTTCTGCAAATTCTGCTTGCGGAAAGTAAATGCATGATAGGAAAGGGGTTGTTTTTCTTTTCCCTTACCACCCTAGTAAAATATGGATAAATAATATAGAAAATAAAAGAACCTTATAGAAAGTAGCGTGACATTAGATGAACAATGTTAAGTGGAGGGCAAATCTATTTTCTTAATGAAAAAAAGCATCACAATTTGTTAGTAATCTCTGCACTCAGATCATGAGAATGGAGAGGTAATTTAAGTGGCCCTTCGCTGGGACCTGGAGAGGCAGAGCCAAGTTAGGCCTTAAAGCCACAGGTAGGTTTTGCCCCTCTATATTTCTGAGCAGACACAGCCCAAACCTGACCAAGCTGAAGGAAGGCAGAGGAATATGATGTAGTGTCAAACCCAGTTGGTATAGGAGAAAAAAAGCCTAAGAAAAGGGAAGATGAGAAAGCAGGTTTGGAGTTGAATTTACTCAAAATACTGAATGCCCAAAAGGGAAAAAAACAGACCTCTGCCTTGAGGCACACTGAGGTGAGATCAAGTTCCTTGGTGTCCCCAGCCTGTGAGGCCGGAAACCTTAATACAAGAAATGTTAGAAAGCCTGGGGATGGGGCCACACAGTAGCTTCAGATAGTACTGCTGCCTGGCTAAACAGAGATGCTACCTTATCCACTGAAAACCTTCAGGACTACCAGCCTCTTAGTAGATAGTTTATTAAATTCTTTGGGATAGTTTGAGTAATAGCACCTGAGATATTCCTTAGGCAATTAATATTGGCCCTATCTAGGTACAAGAAGCAAGCCCAATATATGGCCAGCCTGATTGGATTTTGTCATAACTGTATTTTACACTTAAAGATCTTATTCTTCGTATTCATCAAATTACCTATACAAAAGTGCCTTTGTAGCTCTTGTTCTTGGTAATTATGCAGTTATTATAGAAGGAAAACTGGTGCTTCATAACATTTAATTCATACTAAAATATGCTTCTTACCTATGTTTTTCTTTTTAATTGTTAACTGTGTAATATATATGAAGTATATAATATGCATGTACTAGTAGTAATGATAATAATATAATAAAACTAGCACCAAAGTTCTCACCACTCAGATTAAGAAATAAGTATTACTGAAACTGGAAACTCTTTTCATATCCTTCCCTAATCACTTGGCTCTCCCTTCCTTACAGAAGGAACAACTATCTTGAAATGTTTAATTCATTTTGTTGCTTTTCTTTATAGCCTTTCATAAATATATGCATCTTTAAAATTGTATTTTTTATATTGTTTTGAATATTTATAAATAAAATTACACTGTATGTTTTTTTCTATAATTTTGTTTTAGATCCAGATTTAGATTACATGTGGAGGCTTGTTACATGGGTATACTGCATTTCTATATGCCAGCAATGAACAATCTGAAAAATATATCAATAAAGCAATCCCATTAATAATAGCTACAAATAAAATTAAATACATAGGAATTAACCAAAGAAGTAAAAGATTTCTGCAATGAACACTATAAAACACTGATGAAAGAAATTGAAAAAGACACAAAAAATGAAAAGATATTTCATGTTCATGGATTGGAAGAATTAATATTGTTAAAACATCCATACTACCCAAAGCAGTCTACAGATCAGTGCAATCCCTATGAGTATACCAATGACATTCTTCACAGAAATATGAAAAAAAATTCTAAAGTTTATATAGAATCACAAAGTCCCAGAATAGCCAAAGCCATCCTGAGCAAAAGGAACAAAACTCGAGGAATAACATTACCTGACTTCAAATTATACTACAGAGCTATAGTAACCAAAAAAGCATGGTACTGTCATAAAAACAAACAGACCAATGGAACAGAGTAGAGAGCCCAGAAACAAATCCACATAGCTACAGTGAACTCATTTTCAATAAAGATGCCAGGAATACGTTGGGGGAAAAGACACTCTCTTCAATAAATGGTGCTGGGAAAACTGGATATCCATATACAGAAGAATGAAACTTGATCCCTATCTCTTGCCTTATGCAAAAATCAAATCAAAATGGATTAAAGACTTAAGTCTAGTACCTCAAACTATGAAATTACTAACAGAAAACATTGAGGAAACTCTCCAGTACATTGGTCTAGGGAAAAATTTATTGAGTGATACTTCACAAGCACAGGCAACCAAAGGAAATGTGGACAAATGGGATCATATAAAGTTTAAAAACTTCTGCACAGCAAATGAAGCAGTCAACAAAGTGAAGAGACAACTCAAAGAATAAGAAAAAATATTTGCAAACTACCATGTGGCACGGCATTAATAACCACAATAAAGAAGGACCTCAAACAACTCTATAGAAAAATTCCAATAATCTGATTTAAAATAGGAAAAAATATTTCAATAGACATTTCTCAAAAGAGGACATACAAATAGCAAAGAGGCATATGAAAAGGTGATCAACACCATTAATCATCCGAGAAATGCAAATCAAAACTACAACGAGATATCCCTTCACTCCAGTTAAAATGGCTTTTATCCAAAAATTAGGCAATAACAAATGCTAGAGAGGATGTGGAGAGAAGGGATCCCTTGCAAGTATTGGTAGGAATGTAAATTAATACAACCACTATGGAGAGCACTATGGAGCTTCCTCTGAAAACTAAAAGTAAAGCTATCACATGATCCAGCAATCTCACTTTGGATATATACTCAAGAAATAGGAAATCCATATATAGAAGAGTTATCTACACTCCAATATTTGTTGCAGCATTGTTCACAATAGCCAAGGTTTAGAAGCAACCCAAGTGTCCATCAACAGATGAGTGGATAAAGAAAATATCATTCTTATACACAATAGAGTACTATTCAGCCATAAGAAAGAATGAGATCCTGTCATTTGCAACAGCATGGATGAAACTGGAGTTCATCATGTTAGGTGAAATAAGCCAGGCACAGAAAGACAAACATCACATGTTCTCACTCATTTGTGGGATCTAAAAATCAAAACAATTGAACCCATGGAGATAAAGAATAGAAGGATGTTTACCAGAGGTAGTGAAGGGTAGAGGGGAAGTCGGGAGGGGAGTGGGGATGATTAATGGGTACAAAAATTAGAAAGAATGAATAATACCTAGTACTTGATAGCACAATAGGAGATATATACTCAATAATTATTTAATTCTACATATTTGAATTGTTAACACAATCCAAGGAATGCTTGAGGGGATGTATAATCCATTTTCCATGACGTAATTATTACATATTGCATGCCTGTACCAAAATATCTCATGTACCATATAGGTATATATACCTAGTATATACCCACAAAAAATAAAAATTTAAACATTAGAAAAGTAACATTTAAACATTAAATGTTTAAATTTTTAAACATTAAAAAACTTAAAGTAAACACTACTGATTTTTGTGCATTGATTTTATATCCTGAGACTTTCCTGAAGTTGTTTAATAGGTCTAGGAGCCTTCTGGTGGAATCAGAAAAGTTTTCTACATGAAGAGTCATATCAATAAGTGAAGAGAAATAATTTGACTTTCTCTTTTCTTATTTAAATGATGTTTATTTCTTTCTCTTGCCTGATTGCTCTGGCTAAGACTTCCAGTTGAATCGGAGTGCTGAGAGTGGACATTCTTGTCTTGTTCCACTTCTTAGTGATAATGCTTTCAATTTTGCCCATTCAGTAGGTTGTTGGCTGGGGGTTTTGAGGGATGTTCCTTTGATGCCTAGTTTGTTGAGAGATTTTTCATGAAGGGATGTTGGATTTTATCAAATGCATTTGCTGAATTTATTGATGAATGGCTATGATCAAATCATTTTTAAATTTCTCTTTATGTGATGAATCATTTATTGACTTGCATATGTTGAACCGTCTTGAATCCCAGGAATAAAGCCCACTTGATCATGGCGAATTAACATTTTGATGTGCTGCCGCATTTGGTTTGCTAGTATTTTGCTGAGGATTTTTCTATCTATGTTCATCAGAGATATTAGTCTGTAGTTTTCTTTTTCTCTCTTTGCCAGATTTTGGTATCAGGATGATAGTAGTATTATAGAATGAGTTAGGGAGGTGTCCTTCCTCCTCGATTTTTTGGAATAGTTTCAGTGGCATTTGTACCAGTTTCTTTGTATATCTGGTAGAACTTGGCTGTAAATCCATCTGGTCCAGGGCTATTTGGTTGGTAGGTTTATTATTATTATTACTTATTCAACGTTTTAATGGTCTGTTTAGGATTTATGTTTATTCCTGGCTTAATCTTGAGAGATTGTGTTTTTTCTAGGAATTTATTCATTTCCTCTAGATCTAGTTTCTGTGCATAGAGATGTTCACAGTAGTTTCTAAGCATTTTTGTGTTTCTGTGGGATCAGTTGCAATGTCACCTTTTGTCATTTCTGATTTTGCTTATTTGAATCTTCTCTGTTTTCTTTTTTAATCTAGTTAGCAGTCTATCAATAATCTTATTTATCCTTTCAAAGAACCAAGTTTTTTTTTTTCATTTATTCTTTGCATGTTTTGGGGGGGTCTCAATTTCATTTAGTTCTGCTCTGATTTTAGTTATTTCTTTTCTTGTGCTTTCATTTATTTTATTTTCTTCTGCTCTGACTTTAGTTTCTTTTTAAACTTTTCCAAAAAATCAAGGAGGAAAGATACCTCCTTAACTCATTCTATAATACTAGTATCATCCTGATACCAAAATCTGGCAAAGACATCACAGAAAAAGAAAACTACAGGCTAATATCCCTGATGAACATAGATAGAAAAATCCTCAGCAGAATACTAGCAAACCAAATCCCGCAGCACATCAAAATGTTAATTCACCATGATCAAGTGGGCTTTATTCCTGGGATTTAAGATGGTTCAACATATGGAAGTCAATAAATATGATTCATCCATAAAGAGAATTAAAATTTAAAAACGATTTGATCATAACCATTGAACAATAAATTCAGCAAATGCATTTGATAAAATCCAACATCTCTTCATGAAAAATCTCTCAACAAACTAAGCATCAAAGGAACATCCTTCAAAACCTAAAACATAAATCCTAAACAGAAAAACATAAATCCTAAACAGAATTGGGTTTAGTTTGTTCCTATGTTTCTAGTTCTTATAGGTATGAGGTTAGGTGGTTAGAGATTTTTCTATCTTCTTGATGTAGGCATTTAGCAATATAAACTTTCCTGTTTTTGATGCATCCCTGAGTTTTTGGTATGTTGTACCTCTATTCTCATTTGTTTCAAAGAACTTTTTATTTCTACTTTGATTTCATTGTTTACCCAAATGTTCTTCAGGAGCAAGTTGTTTAGTTTCAATGTATTTCTATGGCTTTGAGAGTTCTTCTTGGTATTGACTTATATTTTTATTCCACTGTGGTCCAAGAAGGATGCTTGATATAATTTTGCTTAAAATCTATTGAGACTTGCTTTATGATTGAGCATGTGGTCAGTCTTAGAGTATGTTCCATATGCAGATCAGAAGCATGTCTATTCTGTCGTTGTTGGGTGGAGTAATCTGTAGTTGTCTATTAGGTCCAATTGGTCAAGTGTCAAATTTAAATTTATAATTTCTTAGTTTTCTGCCTTGATGAACTATCTAATTATATCAGTGAGGTGTTTAAGTACACCACTATTATTTTGTGGCTATCAGAGTATTTTCTTAAGGCTAGAAGTAAGTGTTTTATAAAGCCGGGTGCTCCAATATTGAGTGCATATATAGTTAGGATAGTTAAGTCTTCTTGTTGAATTGAACCCTTTATCATTATGTCATGCTTTTTTGTCATTTTTGACTGTTGTTGGTTTAAAGTTAATTTTATCTGATTTAAGAATAGTAGCTCTTCCTCCTTTTTGTTTTCCAGTAGTGTGGTGGGTCTTTATTCATCCCTTTACTTTGAACCCATGCATATCATTATGTGTGAGGTGGGTTTGTCTCTTAAAGACAGCAGAAGAATGTGTCTGTTTTGTTTTTAATCCAATTTGCAACTTTATGTCTTGTAAGTGGAGCATTTAGGCTATTTGTCTTCAAGATTAATATTGAAATATTAGGCTTTGTTCCTTTCATAGTGTTGTTAGCTAGTTGTGTGGTAGTCTCGATTATGTACTTGCTTTGTAGGGACCGTGGGTTGTGTGCTTGCATGTGCTTTTGTGGGAGCAAGTGTTCTTTCCTTCCCATGTTTAGAGCTCTATTAAGCATTTTTTGGAGGGCCAGTTAAGATGTGATGAATTCCCTTAGAAACTGCATGTTTGGGAAAAACTTCATTCTCCTTCGTTTATGAAGCTCGGTTTGGCAGGATTTGAAATTCTTTACTGGCATTTATTTTCTTTCAGAATGCTAAATGTGGGCCCCCAATATCTTCTGGTTTGTAAGGCTTCTGCTAATAAGGGTTCTGTTAGTCTGATGGGTTTCTCTTTACAGGCAATATGACCCTTTTTGCTCGCTACCTTTAAAAATTTTTCTTTCTTATTGACTTTGGATAATCTGTTGACTATTTGCCATGGGGATGGTGACCTTATATAGTATCTCACAAGAGTTCTCTGGATTGCTTGTATCTGCATGTCAACCTCTCTACTTCTACAAAAAAATATTTTGTGTCCAAACTATTCTATGTGGTTGCATCTGGACTTCACTTACTGTAGCTCAAGTATTTAAAGTTTTTAAATACTTAAAGTATTTCCATTTTATAAAGCTACCAAAATTTATCCCTTGAACTATTGGTAAATATTTGATTCATTTCTCTTTTTATATTATACAAACAATGCTGCTAGGAACATTCTCATATATGTCTCTGCTGTTCTTTTCTATATATTCTGCCTGTTTTTTCCCTTGCTTCAGCCTAGATATTTCTGTTTCCCTATCTTCCAATTCACCAATCTTCTTTTCTGCTATGTCTAATCTGCTGTTATATACACCTACCAACTTCTTAATTTCACTTACTGCTTTTTTTGTCAATTCTATAAGTAATATGTGAATTTTAAGATAGATTCCAGTTTTCTAGCAAAATTCTTCACCTGGCTATTTATTTAAATATACTTATCATAGTTATTTTAAAGTCCATATTTGTAACTCCAATATAAACCTTCTGTGTGTGAGATTTGCCCAGTATGCCTTATCATTTTTTATTGAATTCTGGATTTTTTGTATTAAAAATGACAAAGACTCCTGGTTCATACTATGTACAGCAGAAAGACAGTTCACCTTCTTCTGCTATGCATCTTGATTGATGGCAGAGCATTTTCATCTAACCAGTAGCTGAACTGACTCCAGGATTATCTAACTTTTAAGTTAAATCTACATGTGATTCAAACATAACGCCAGAGTGTAAATTTTCAGGAGTCCCAATGGAGAGCCTGAGGTGTTCATCAAGGCCTCTCTCGTTTTGTAGATTTGAGCCCCAAATTTTCAGAAACTGTAAAGTTTCTGAAAAATTCCACTCTGCTTGTTGGTGACTTCTTTGCTTGGCTTCTTAGCCTTCTCAGTTTAATACTTTAGAACATTCTTGGGGGGAAACTTAGTGGTGTGTGTGGTGCTCACTTCTCTTGAGCTTGATCCTTCAAGTCCTGGCTACCTCGGCAGCTCTAAACTCTTTTTTGCTTTGTCAACCCTGTAAGATTGCCAAGTACTCTCCTGGCTTCTCAAGTTCTGATCAAAATTTCTCTGCCGGGATTTTTCACTTTTCAATCCATAAAATAAAAGGATAAATGCTCTAAGGAGAAGTATATTTTGCAGCTCATTACTTACTTCTCCAGGTCCTTCCTCTCTGATACATTGGCCTTTCAAATCCTGTTGCTTAATGTATCATGAATGCTTTTAAACAGATTTTTAAAAATAATCTTTGGCTCTCATAGCATTTGTTATCTGTCAGGTCATTGATCTGCTGCAAGCTATCACTTTAGTGACAAACAGAAATCCTAAAGGTTATTGAAAATTTTATTTAATACTGAGATTGTATTTATTCAAATGTTTATAATAAATTAGAATTTAACATAAAAATTCCCATGATCGATGATTATGACACTAGTGACCATGGGAAAAAAACTAAGTGAAATTTTAGAGGAAAACAAAAACATATTTTTAGAAACCCTCAAAGGCATTTATTTGTCTGTATTGTTAAGTTCTATTGCTATTGTTTGCTGATTTTATGTTATTCTATCTGAAATAGTAGCTCTTTTGAAACTGCATATATTTTAACTTTACCTTGAAGAGAGGAAGGAATTTATTTTCCTTTCAAGTAATTATTGCTTCAGGGATAGTATTAAGGTGACAATCTGAATATTAACCTATTTGGGCTCTGAGAACAAAAAAAAAAAGGAAACGTCTAAGTATTGGAGATGGTAGGTGCAACTTCAATACATAATATGATTGACCCTCTTTAGTATAATACCACAAAGCTAATTAAACGAGAGAAAACTTTGAGCAATAAGCTCTTAGAGAAAGTTAAAAAGAAAGTTAATTTAATCAAAAGTAACATGAACTTATGATATTTTGATATAAGATGATTTTTCTTATGCTATAGAATGATTTAATTAGTTTTTTTTTTCTGATATCATCCCTCTTAACTCCAGAAGTTTTGGGGAATCATCCAATATACCACCACATATTCCAGATTGAGGTTTCTACTATCATTCTCTTCTAAAAGAAATCAAGGCTCCATGGACAGTGTCTATATCATGGACTTCTTGCCTTCAGAAAGTAAGGCCTTCATCGGAAGAAATTGCAATAGAACTAAGACAAGAAAGTTAGCTAAAGAAAAGGTTATGGTAGCCAAATAATTAAAAGGTAAGGTTCCAAACAATGTACACAATTAATTAGAACAAGTTGTGTTTGAAATCAGTGAGAGGTCATTAATCTATGATGAATCTCAAAAAGGAGACTAAATATACTGAGAAAAGCCATACCAACCAGTGAGTCTATGGTACCCAGTTTTCCTCAAAAAGTGGGATAAGGGGGGAAGACATTCAATTGTTAAGAATGGAGTTCTAGGGTTTGTTTAATTGATAAAATATCTTCCCCTCATTGGATAATTCCAATGGTTATTTATTTTAGTTTTCCTGAGATAAAAACAATATTTTATCTGCTCAACTGATGCTTCCAAGCCAGATCTTAGGTGAGGGTGTGAGATGTAGGAATAAAGAAGCCTGAAACCTATGCATGTCTCCTGCTCCTGGGGAATATCTCCTGCCTAACGGGACACTCACTTTTTACCAGTATGTCTTCAGGAGAGCTTTGGAGACTTGAAAAACCATAATTCTGCATAAAGAAATATATTATCCCCCCTTTTCTTGTAAATATCTTTGCACATTTCTCATCCTTGAACTGTTAAAGAAACTGAACATGTCCTATATGTATCTTTTCATGAATCTAATCATCATCCTATTGGGACAATCTTGCATAATCCATCCAGGTAGATCTCTCTTACCCACTCTCAGACTAAGTTAAATGATGCCAGCTCCCCACCTTTCTACTCGAAAGAAACATATTTTGCAGCCATTTTCCCGGTATACCGTGAATGGCTGTTTATATGTCTTCCCCCATGTGAACTTCAAGTTTCTGGAGAGAAGAATCTAAGCTTTTTCTTCTTATTATTTTTTCCCACTCCTAATAACAACTTCCCCTTGCAATAAATGTTTGAATACATGAATAAATTAGTCAGCTCCTCTTCACTTCAATGTAATCTCAGTCCCAGCCATCTCAGTCTACATACATTTTCTGAAATGAGTTATTTATTTTCTTTTCCTGAGCCTTTGTTCCTGTTTTGTCATCTGTACCAGGTTTGTTTTCCCCAAAAGATATGACTAAGTCTTAACCCCTTGTACCTATAAATATGACCTTCTTTGGAGAGAGAGTGAGTTTTTGTAGATGTGATTAAAGTAAGGATCTCGAGATGAGATTATCCTGAATTATAATGTGTCAAAGAAAAGTTGTACTGGACAAATTAAGCAGCCAAAGAGGAGTTTATTCAAGACTATTGCAGTGGAGGAGAGAAATTAAACTCAACTCTTCTGGGGAAAAAAAAAAAAAGACAGGAGGATATGTAAGTGCTGGGGTTAGCTAGTGGAAACATACTGGAGCACATTAGAAAGTATGTTGATTCATGTGATTAGGTCAATTTGATGTGTTTGCTGTTGTCACTTACCTAAGTTAGGCTCCTAGACCTCCCACAGAGACTGGGCAGATGGTGGCTATCTTCCTTGAGGATATCTTTCAAAGAGATGGCTCCAGGTCATTGAGAAAGAAATTCCTGTGTTATAAAACTACCAAGAGGATGGGAGAATATTTATATCTCAAAAGTGCAGACAGAAAATTTACAATTGAAAGTTTTCTAAAGTGAATATTGTGCTAAGGAAAGTGAGGTCAGAGGCCTGTCTAAAGTTTAGGGAAACTGAGGGGAATGTTAAGGCTATCTTGCTTTTGTGGACCTTAAATTCAATGACAGTATCCTTATAAAACATGTCCTTAAGCTATCAAAACAATTGAACTCATGGACATAGAGAGTAGGATTGTTACCAGGGCTGGGAAGGAAAGTAGGGGGTTGGGGGAAAGGTAGGAATGGTTAATGGGTACAAAAAATCAAAAGAATGAATATGACCTACTATTTGACAGCACAATGGAGTGACTATAGTTAACAATAACTTAATTGTACATTTTAAAATAACTAAAAAAGTATAATTGGATTGTTTCTAACATGAGGGATAAATGCTTCAGGGTGTGTATAACCCATTCTCTATGATGTGATTATTATGCATTACATGTGTGTATCAAAACATCTCATATACCCCTTAAATATATACACCTACTGTGTACCCAAAAAAATAAAAAACAAAAAATTAAATGTCATTGTATGAAAAAGAACAGTAGAAGACACCCAGAGTCACAGAAGGAAAAAGCCACGTGGAGACAGAGACACAGACAGGAGTGAAGTATCTACAAGCCCAGGAATACCAAAGAACCAACAGCCACTAGAAGCTAACAGCGGCAAGGAATAAATTTTTCCCCAAAGCTTCTGGAGTATCCAAGACTGCTAACACTTTGATTTAGAATTTTTTTTCCTCCAGAACTATGAGAGAATGAATTTCTGTTTATCTAAGCCTCCTAGTTTGTGGTAATTTGTTAAAGTAGCCCTCGGAAACTAGTATACCATCTTTCTTGAAAAGTCTCTCTCTACTGTTCATTTAACTTCAAATGTCAAAATTCTACATCTCATTTAATGCCGACAAAATTGTCTAGTCCTCCATTCCTTTTTCTTACAATTGATAATACAGCTAAACACCATGGCTTTTTCCTCTGAATTCTTTTGACAATGAATATGATAAAGATATTGCAGCTGAAACTTGTTTAATGTTTGATTTATATCTAATTCCTTCTTATTCCTTGTGAAAACAATAAGGCAGGTGCTATTATTTTTCAGTATTACGGATGAAGAAACTGAAGAACAGAGGGATTAAATAACACTAAGTAGTAAAACCAGAATTTGCTTTGAGATTTGCCTAAGTAGAGAGCCTATATGCTTAGACATTTTACTATATATTTTTTCTGTTTCTATCCCTGAATGTTTACTTCTCTCGTGTTATCTTTCATTATGTTCTCTATAATTTTTTATTTTCTAGCACAAAATTCAACTGAGGTAACTAAGAAATCACAGATGTATAAGCATATTCATTTGTTTTTCCCATGTTAAAGGTCTTTTGATATTATGTTGCCTACATTTTTTAAAACTTAAACAATTCTTGTTCAAGAAAAAATTTTAGGCAATTTGCTTGAACACTTTTAACCTTAAAATGATTTTAAGATTCTGTTTTATTTATCTTTTTATAGCATTTGGCACAATTCTTTGAATACCAAAACTGCCCAAATTTCACTGAATGAATTTAGTTAAACCAATTGTCAGCCTCTACATGTCCCCAGCTTTCTAGGATCATATTTTTCTGTAATACAGTACTTTAATAGAATGGCTAAAGGCCCTATTCTGCATGCATTAAGAAGCTCAGTGCTTTTCTCCCACACAATGTTTCTGAATATTAATTAAGTTGGGAGAGGGTTCCATTTTTCCTGGTTGCCTGTAACTTCCATTGTTTTCTTTTGAACTCCTACTGTCAACTCTACTCTCAACATGTCTCCTGAGATTGCCCTCCATTTGCAATACTGGATACTACTCCACTAACACAAGAGTGTTGTGTGGTAGACTCTTACTGATGGCTTGGAAAATCAAGAGTATTAAAGCATATCATAGTTCTCATTTATTCATTTAATCATTCAGCAAACATACAAACATTCATTAAATATCTAGTGGCACTGTGTTGGGCACTGAGGAAACAATGGTAAGCAAACAGGCAAAAGTATCCATGATCATGTAGCTCATACTCTACTCAGGAAAACATAAAACTCACACAGGGACATGATAAATGTAAAATTACAACTTGAAGTAAGTATAAGGAAGAAAATATCCATGGTAGATTGAGAGCTATGGTAATGGGCTTGAACTGAGAGCTGAAGGGTGAGTAGGCATTAACCAGCCCTGCAGCAGGGCTAGAAGAAGGAGAAAGAGAAAGGCATAAGAGAAAGAAATGACAGCATGTGAAAACAAGCAACAGTGGGATGGAACAACCTACATTCCAGCAACTGCAAGAAAGCCTGTGCATTAGGGATGCATAGACCCAAGCAAGCAAAGGAAAGAAAGAAGTCTGGAGAAACCAGGCAAAACCACTTTAACAAATGCACAGTTTACTTCAGGCTTCCTTAACAAATGTAATCTTAATCTTAAAGCTAATGGAGAAATAATGAACAGTTTGATGTAGGAGATTGACATGATCTACTTTGTATTTTGAAAACAATTCTGGCTACTGTATAGAGACAAGAGTAAAGTGGGTAAGGAATGATGGATGCAGGAATTCTGAACATGAAGCCTTCATCCAGGTGAGAGATTATGGTGGCTTGGCCTCGGGAAGTGATGGTGGAGATGAAGGTAATTGGGAAGATTTGAGAAGCCTTTAGTGCAGAATAGACAAACAGAACCTGATGAAATGAGGGGACTGTCGGGTGTCAAGAATGTAGAGTACACTGGAATGGGAAAGGCAGAAACCAGAAAAAAATTAGTTCCAGTCTTAAAAATTGACTAGACTTTTTTGAATATGGAAATTTCTCACTGGCTGCCTCTTTTTAGGCTCTTCCCTAAGACTTTCTCCTTTACCCCCACTTTCCCACCCTCAAAACCACCTTCTATCACTGTATTACTTTAAGTGTTCCTGGATTCACACAATTTCTTCATAATGACTTTAATAATACAATAATTATGTGGATAATTTAACACTAAGTCTCCCTTAGTTTGAGGTCCAGCTTTGTACTGCCAACAATTTCACTGAACTATGCTAATCTGTCTACCACAATTCCACCCTTAGTAATACAAAGACTTTGGAAATGTATTGAAATCACATCATTTTTTTCAGCATATCTTAGAACAAATTCTTAGGCTTAGGCTTCCACCAGAACTTTCAGGGTTGTGGAGCTGTGTATGGGGATATGCACTTTAATCATCCTATATGTCATGTCCTACCCTCAAAATTATCAGTTTCAGTGACCCAAGATGGCTTACAAAACCTAAAAGCTAACATACCATAGTCTACACAAATACTTTATGTTAACAATGAAGAATCAAAATGCTTAATAATAAATTATGGCTTAGTTACAATTCTATTTCTGGGGAATAGGAGTACCTATACCTAATGTTGGATTTGTTCTTGTGCTCTTTTGAAGGGAACATCCTTCTGTATCAGAAATTCCCATGTTTCCATATCCAGATTTCTTCACCAAGGCAGATAAAGAGTTGGCAAAAATCATTGACCATCACGTAAGATTGATTTTTTTTTAACTAGCAGCAAAAGCTTTGTTCCTTAAAAGCACTTTAAATGATAAAATGTAGTTCTGAGACTGAAACCTTAATATGTGAAATTTAAAAGTAGAGCCATGATTGGTTTGCCAAACTGAATTATATCTCACTATGTTATCTGTACACCAGTGTCTTCATTGGGTTGCAGAAAATTTGACCTTCTGTCATTTGTAAAATACTAACCTAATCCTGTTTTCTGAATTAGTACTGATTTCTTGTGACAAGAATCTTATATTGAACACTGAACACTGATTTCTTCTGCAGTGTAGTTCTAATAACAGAACAAAAATCTTTTGGCTCAATTTTCAGTGACCGTTCTTTACCCTTGACAGATCAGAAAGACTGTTAATCACTTTGTTCTTAGTATGAGTTTAAAAAGCAGTGGCAATACAAGACTATTCACAGAAGATACTTTAATTCATTGTGCTATATTTTGTTGATAATTTCTTAACCAAATACACATCATTTTATGCCTCGTTCTTTTAAAGAGTAGAATTAAAATATGAGAGAAAATGCTTTTCTGGTTTTTTCTTTGAATAAAATATATAGCATATATAATGCACTTAATTTTATCACCAGTAGTTCAATATTATCTCTCAGATTGCAATTAAATTAACAATTAATTTTTTCACACTACTTTTAAGTAGTAATCTTGTGAAGAGATTATTTTATTTACTGATCACATTAAATAGTTTTCACCACATCTCTAGTAATTAAGCCACTCTAGCAACAGCTATAAGTATTGGGCTTTGGAGACTGACTGATACCTTGAAATGACAAAACGAGAGCTGCAATATTCTATTATTCACTAATAAAGTTTTTGTTAAACCAATATATGTACAGGTCATCTTCAAAAATTTCAAATGGTTTATAAATTTCAACATCTATATTTTCCTACTCATTACTTCAACTAAATTATCTAGAAGAGATTATGAAATAGCAGTTTGCCAACATCACATACACACATACACATACACACACACACACACACACACACACACACGCACGCATAAATAACTACTTTGGTCTGTCTAGGGCTAAAGAAACAGAGGAGAGTATTATGAATGACAGAGATACAGAGATAGCTCCTAACAACCATCCATCATCTTTTCCTTTTTCCAAGGGTGTAAGCACTATCCAAGTAATCACTGCCATGAACCTGCTTATATTGTAGCTAAAGAAGGATAAATAAATCTTTTTCAAAAATATGCTTGAAAACTTATAGATCCAAATTGTTTGATGTGCGGCTAGCCTAATAAACTAGTAATTCATAGTACTGATTTTGGAAGGTTTATTGAATTGTCTCTAAATATTATATTTATTTTTTTCAGTATTCATGTATATATCACTTATTTTCAGATGGGTGTAGCAATAGTGTTTTGTATTTATACTTTATGCTTTACAAAAATGCTCTTGCAGTGGTTAATTTAATCCTCACAACCCTATAAATCATTTACAAATAAGAACAAACTTGCTTACAATTCAGTTACTTGCTCAATGTTTTAAGTAAATGAGTCTATTCCCAAAAACAGATTTCCCTACTCCAAATCTACTTTCCCTTCCACTTTTTCATAGCTGCTGAAGTTCTTGGCTTATGATTCCTAACCAGAATTAGAAGTGGGAGGATGGGATCTGCAATATCGACAAATAACAAAAACACATCCCCTCAGCTACAGATATAATTCTCCTTCTAAGCCAACAGACTTTTGTTGAAGGGTTATCATATGCAGGGAATAGAAAATATACCTCATTGCTTAGGAGATATTAAGGTACCTTATACATTGCTAGTATTCCATAGCATGATCATTGAATCACTGAGTGAATAAGTTGAATAAAGCAGTAAATGGTGCTTCCATTTCCCATAGATTTCAAACATATCTATTTTTTTGCTTCCTTCTAGCTACCACAATAGACAATAATAATGGTATATAAAGTAAAAAAATACAATTATTTACCCAAATTGATCTGTTGTCATGGTCACCAGAGACAAAAAGAAAGTATGCTTTTTCCTAAGCCTAATGAAAAGAAGGATTTTGATGTTATGGTGAATTTCAGCCATTCCAAATTCTAAGAAGGGGGAAAGAGGGAAGAGCTGTCTTCTGGACAGTGATGATATGATACCCCTTCTTGGCTGCTTTTATATGTACTGATGCTTTTATACATGCTGTTTGGCAAACCAAGAATTTTAATTTGCTGGCAGTTCTTAAGAATTAATTCTCTTTTGATTTTTCACAATTTTTTTTTTTTTTTTTTTTTTTTTTTTTGAGACAGAGTCTCGCTCTGTGGCCCAGGCTGGAGTGCAGTGGTGTGACCTTGGCTCACTGCAAGCTCTGCCTCCCGGGTTCATGCCATTCTCCTGCCTCAGCCTCCCGAGTAGCTGGGCCTACAGGCACCCGCCACCACGCCCGGCTAATTTTTTTTGTATTTTGTTTAGTAGAGACGGCGTTTCACCGTGTTAGCCAGGATGGTCTCCATCTCCTGACCTCGTGATCCGCCCGCCTCAGCCTCCCAAAGTGCTGGGATTACAGGCGTTTGAGCCTAAAAAACAAAATAATGAGATCTATCGAAATATTTCATACAGGATAGATTAGTGCTCTTTGTTTATAGATACTGTCATTATTATACCAACTATAACTTCTATGCTAATAAAATTGGTAATTTTCTTAAACAACTAGATTATTAGTTTATTATATGAGAAAAATAATGTGTCATAGTTGAGTATCATAGAACTTGTAGACTAAACCATGGCATGAATTTCAGCCTGTGCCTGACTATTCTGGAGGTTTTGCCTTAATTTCCCATACATTTTATGCAAAACTGGTTCCTGAGAAACCGAACATATGAGAAATAACTGTTTAGAAATACAGCCTTAAGATAAGTGCAGTTAACTTTTGTATTTCTTATGTAGTTAAAACTCACCTGGGAATAAATAATGGATTTGATATTATTATGCTTTTATTTTTAATGTTTAACATGAGTATATTAACATTATACACAATTTTAATGCATTCGTCAAAGCTGAGTGACATGCTATGGACTCTGATGTTTAGCTCTGCTTTTTATTATCTGAATATCCCAGATGACAAATGTTATTTGTGATTCACAGTACTGGTATATATAGTAATCTACAAATTAATTGATAGGTTGATAATCTTAGACTGATCATTTGTGTATATGCATGAGCTGAGGCTGACAAAAAGACAGCATTGGCAGTATCTTTAGGAATGTCCAATATTGCATACTAGGAGTCATTCTGCCCTGAATGTTTTACCCAACATAAAGTGTTCACCATCTGTTTTTATCATTTCCTTCATCAAATGTATTAGAAGAGAAAAAAAGTTCCTCCTAATTATATATATATATATATTTTTCATGATGATGTTTGATTGATTATCATTACTTACGTGTTACTCATTCTTATGGCTCTTGCCTTCCAATATACTACTATTTACATGACATCATGGGTTATAAAGTGAAAAACTAAGTGAAAGCAAAAGAAAAAGAAAAAAATTATCATGGCCAATTAAGATAAATTCTTTAGAGCTTTTTTTCTGGCCTTCTGCATAGTATGCATTTACCTGACCATTAATTTCATTTTTAACTTCATAGAGAATAGTATTAGAGTTTTTGCCTTTCTGTTTAATTTGTATTTTCTGTATTTTTTCTTTCTGTTTTGCTTTCATCTCGTTCTTCATTTTATAACCCATGCTGTCATGTAAATACCAATATTGATGAAGAACGTAAAACCATTTGGAATATGGAAATACAAAACCTATAATGTCTTCTTTTTTATTGTTTTTTTTTTTGTCTTTAAATATATTGAGGAAATTCTGCTTTGTGGGACTTACATGCATTCTAATAGGTGACACATGTGTTTTGCCAGTGTGGTAGATATAAAATTTTTGAGGAATGTCATGGAAAAAACCTGAAAGGATAATTGGATATAAGAATCTGCATTTTGAGCAGCTAAACTGATATGCATTTTTTCATGGAAAATCATGTGAATGACGTTTTCTCTCTGTAACAGTGGCAGGAAGAGCTAAAGATCCGAGAAAAAGAAGATGCAATATGCAAGGCCCAAGAACTTAAAGATAAAAAGTTAGCAGAGAAAAATCACTTTCAAGAAGTTATGAAGAAAAGAGAAGAGAAACTACATAAGCAAACCAAGCCCTATGAACTTCCTTATAGGAAGGAAGTAATTTAATTAGAAAAGAAAATGTCACCTCCCAAAATTGAGGACTACATGGCAGAAATACATAGGATGAAAAATACCAAGATAGCTACATAGTAAGAGAACTTTCTTGTCATTAAATGGAGGTATTGTTTAGAAAGAATTTGTTTTCCTGATACAAGCTGTTTGTTTAATAGTTATTTCTTAGTTCTAAATTAATGACCAACTTTTAATCACACTTGAATGAAGTGATTTCACTAGTCAAAAATTTCCAAGACTACATCTAGTATTTTTCTCAATTGACCTTTATCTCATGATTGTACAGCATACTTGATAACTGATTCTCAGAACATTGATATTCATCAAACAAACAGTTTGATGGAAATTCATTACAAATTAATTAATGGGTCACCAGATAAGAATTATTTCTTGAAAACAGAATGAACATAAACTAACAATCCTGTAATTACTATTATTCAAATAAAAACAGTATGGCATCTTATTTGATTGGCATTTTATAGTCAATTTATACCAAACCAAACAAACCCTATTTCAGAGATTTGAATCTGGGAGGGCTGGTCATCTTAGATTGATTGGCTTGATCTTTAACAGATGCCAGAGGGGATTCCTGAGAGATGGTGGTTTTACTCTGTTCTGTGAGTTTATGAGAATGAATTCTTATGAACCTGGAAGGTCCAGGAGCAACTGCTGAAGACATTCATAGAAATAGGAGTTATTTTAGAAATGGAACTTCACTTCATCTGAAGTTCTGAACCTATGAGTAAGAGTAATAGGGTGGAGTTTTTGTGATGTCTTATATTCCTTTCCTGAAAACTGAAAAATATAGATAATACTCATACCTCGATTTCACACAGATGACTTGGTGATACTCAAGAGACAGAGACTTTTATCAGGGGTGTCAAACTCAAATGACTACCAGGTCAGAAAGGTAACATAAATTAGTGAAGCCGGCTAAGGAATACCTATCCCATATAGAGAAATTTCCCATCACTCGGTTACATTCCAAAATGTATGTCAGTATTGTAAAATCATCCAGCCTTTCAAGAAGCTTTTAAATGGGATTATTTTTCAAAATAAAAGTAGCTAAGTAACCAAATGTTGGCAACTAATTTTTTAATAGCATATTTTCAAGTTAAGAAGTTTTATCCATGGGCCAAAGTTTGTGACCTATATTATGTGAATTTAAGTATCATTCTTTGTTTAAGATAACAATAACATATGGCAGAAAAATGTTGCCTGTAGGTTGCTGTTTTGATTTCCTGTATAGCTAATTCAAACTTATGTTTCTCTTTCTAAACCTTTTATCTTATGCTTGTGTTCTCAAATGGAGACTATGCAAGTTCCTAGAAATATCTCCCAATATACCTTTCCAAATACCTTCCTCCATCTTTGCTTTCTTCCCTTGTGCAAAGGAAAAAAAAAAATCTATAGAAGACCAGCTAGTCCCTTTTCTCCAAATCTTCTCTCTTCCAAAATCTTGTTCCATCAACTATTCACTATCTCCTTCTGAGTCCCTCTTCATCACTCACTCCTAAACCCATCAAGGTTTCAATTTTCTCCCATCCTTCCATCCAAACCTCTCTCTCATTAAAGCCATCAGTGACATGAGCCTTACCAAACTCTGAACGTCCTTCTAATTTGTAATCTTTTTATTGGTTTGTAGCAAGATATAACAACTAAGCTCTAAGGTTTAGTAAGGGGACTCTGGAGATCTAACTGCTACTTAAAAGAATTTCAACAAATCCTGCTGTTTCAGCACCATCTTTGTAAAAGAAACCTGGTATCTCCAATTTCTGAAACTTTCTAGCATTCTGAGGCATGGTCCTTAAGGCCTCCTCACTGCAGACTTAGGTTTATGTTTGCTCTGATTAGCGTATTTCTACCTGTTCACCTTCTTTCTTACTTCCACGATTTTCTTAATACTTCCAACATGCTATTATCTTTTCTTCTTGTGGATTCATGCCTTTTTTTAAAGTAACCCTTTTTATGTCTTAGTGGTGACTTGGAAAGGAGCTAAAAAAATATTTATATATAGATATATAGAGAAAGGAAGAAAAGGAGAGAGAGAGATGATTAATCAGAATACTGACACCTTTATTCTTAAATTATTTTAAAATTCTTAATATTTGGCAACATGCATTTCTCATGGTCTTTCTCCTATTTCACTGATTCTTTTTGCAATATTAGCAAAGACTGTGGGGTGTAGATCTGGAATCACACTCTAGTTACGCCTTCTGCCAACTAGGGAACATTAGGCAAGTTACTGAACCCGTTTTTATTTCCATTTACTCATTTATAAAATTGACACAATTTATGTAAAGAGTGATATCATTTAGAAGCTAATTAGGAAAGTAAACAAACCTGTCAGTCATTTTAACAGAGAGAATTTAATGTAAAAAATTATTTTCAAAGGTGTTAGAAACTGAATAAATGGAAAGGGAACATAGAAATAACACTGAAACAGTAGCTGCTGGAAACTGCTACCACATTTGGAGCCATGGAATCAGAGAGAAGAGGTTTGCATTGTTAAAATCGAAGGGATGTAGAAGGCACTTCACACAGCCGGACTCGGATCCTTGACAGGGAGACATTGCCCAGTTATTGCTGGTACTTTTGAGGGGGCACAATACAACTGGTTCTGGGAGTGCAGAAAAAAGTGAAAACTGAAACAACTTGTATCTTGCTGAAACCACACTATCAGAAAGAGTGAGAAAACTGGAAGAATCAGGTATTTTCTTCCCTCTCATCCTGAAACTCTTCCTGATGTGCTTCCTGTTCTCCGGCATCACAAAGCAGAGAAAACAAGGGTGGACTTGGAGATGAAAGACACTAGTTAAATAAATGAACATTGTATGGCTTAGAAGGTTATCAGACCATTCAATAAAAGTTAACTCTCCTTTCTTTTCTTTTGCATCTTTGGCCTTGTTTTCTGCTTATTTATTTTACCCCGGACAAAAAAAAAAAAAAAAAAAAGAAAAAGAAAAAAGTTTGAAAGAAAGCATCACCTTTTAAGTTTATATAAATGGCTTAAAAATAAACTTTACTATACTTTAATAACTAATTCTTAATTCTTCCAAAAAGTTCATTTAACACAAATTCAGTTGGATTCTTTGTAATTTATGTTTAGTATTCACTTTGCTTCAAAACTCACAAAGGATTCTGAGTCATAGACTGGGTTGGGTACCAGATAAATTATTTCAACTACTGTCTTATTGTTCAGCTTATGATTTCTCAGCCTTAGTTGTTTTCCCATTCTTCCCACTTTGAGTTGATAGGAGAAAAATAGAGAAAGAGAAAGATTCTACATGTCTGTTTACCTTGCATGGCTCTTAGTCACCTTTAAATGCCTCTACTGTTAAAAAGTGTTAACGTATCTCAGGTCTAAAGTTCTATCTAAAACTTCTTTCCATGCTGTTTTATCATTTATGCTTACGTTTATTTTGAAAGAATAAACTCAAGACTCCCTACATTTATTTATTATGGGTTTCATAAGTTTCCATAGGTTTCTCTTAGTAACCACGAAAGCAATTTCTCTTTCACACATGCTGCCTCATTGAGAATACTCATAAAACTTTTAAGGTTTTAAGTTTCACTAGTGTTAGAATACTGTAGTAAATTCTGAGTAACAGAAGCATGAACATAAGCTTTTTTCCTGATAGAATTTTGTTTTGAAAAAAGGAAAGCAAATGATTTATAGTGGTTTGTGGGGTATACCAAATAGACATTTAAGGAATAAAATATCTAAAATATCTTGACTCATGCATTGATGAGTGGGTGTTTGGAGATAGGGAGCATAAAGAGGTAACAGATAAAAATAACTCACACCAACAGTTTTAGAAACTATAGTGATGTTTACCAATTATAATTTAAGTAATTGATTCTTTTGTTTCTACCAGTAAAAACCTTCTCTGTAACTGTCTACTAGTTAATTATTTTCTGAGTGTCCTTTTTCATATTGCTTCTAGTTGAGAAGAGCAGTTCTATAGTTTCACTGAACTTTGCTTCCAAATTTCAAAGTTAGCTGATTGGAAATTGCTTTGGGGTTGCTTTCAAACGTTATCCAACTGCTCACATACTAAGTTTTCACTTTGTGTCTGCCAGTGACTCTCAATTAAAGTCACCATAGTCTCCTCCAGCTTCTTCATTCTTCTTCACATCTCAATTTGCTGAAGTAAAATAAATAAGAACACCCCTATTTGTTTTATCTGTGATTAATCAATGACACTTGTCACCTCCTCTGTTGGCTAAATATTTAATACAAAGGAAGGTAGAGTCATGAAACTGTTGTGCCAATGCCTCTGTAGAAAAGACATGTGTAGGAACAAATTCAGTCCACACAGTACTTCTCAACCTCAGGTTGGCCACTGGAGACTAGGTATCTGTAAGGCTCCTTGTACTGATTCTAGTTATTAAATTTGACATGCAGAATGCATTTGGAAACTTAGAGCAAAATGCATTTTAAATTATCTTCTATAATACATTTATATATTTGTATAGTTTTACAAATTCTGTTGATGACTTAAGTTACTTTTCTGCTACATGCATTTTTCATGGTGACACAGATTTCAAGGATAATTTGGCTTGTTATTTTTTTCCTGTTTCACTGAAAAGCCAAAATAAAAATAAAATGTCTTTTCAAAACATTTTTTAGTTGGAAGATCCCTGTGATATCCAACCTTCCAGTAACATTTCCGAAGCTGACTCTATTTTGGAAAGGGGGTGAATCATCTTTCATAAATTAACGAATAAGGTAAAGGTCAAACATCTCAGAATCACCAGTGCAGCTTTTTAATACATAGCCAGACTGTTAGCAATCCAGTAATGCTTTGAATATTGCTTCAAAACACGAAGAAATAGAAAATCTGAACAAACCAATCGGTTAATCTCTAGCTCTAGCTTTTTGCTTGGCTTCCCAATCAAAAGCTTCCCAATAAAAAGCAATGACTAGAGAACACATACAGTAGAATTTCTTCCATAGCATACATTCTCCATCATGATAACTAAGTCATGAGACTTATGGCCTCATAGGAAGGCATGTCTTAAGGAAGGAAAGACTCAATCTATTCCAAGCAGAGACATTGTGGAGGGTAAAAAAAAAAAGTTGGGGTCGGGCACGGTGGCTCAGGCCTGTAATCCCAGCACTTGGGGAGGCCAACGTGGGTGGAACACGGGTCAGGAGATCGAGACCATCTTGGCTAACACAGTGAAACCCCATCTCTACTAAAAATACAAAAAAATTAGCCAGGTGTGGTGGCAGGCGCCTGTAGTCCCAGCTACTCGGGAGGCTGAGGCGGGAGAATGGCGTGAACCTGGGAGGCAGAGCTTGCAGTGAACCGAGATCGCACCACTGCACTCCGGCCTGGGCGACAGGGTGAGACTCCATCTCAAAAAAAAAAAAAAAGTTGGAGAGAAAGATAGATTTAAGGGTGCTTGATGTCCTTACTCTGTACCTCAGGAGAAGGGGTGTGGGCTAGAAACATGTAAATAGATAAGGAGCCTGAGTCTGACAGGTTAGTAGCATTAGCTCCTGCAGGACTGAGGAACTGTTAAGTCACTAGGAGGGATATTGTATGCAAACATTTTCAATGACACATGCAATTGTCAGGGTGAGAAGAGAAGCAAAGAAGCAAATGATAGGAGACAGGTCTCTGGTATTAGCACATTAAGACCAAATAGACAGAAATTAGATCTACTTCAGTGCACATTATTGAAGAAAGCATACCAGTTTATCCACTCTACAGTTGAGGTCAGGGAGGAGTAAGTGAACATTGGGAAGATTTAAGGACACGGGCTCCCATCTACTTCCTTACACACACCAGACCTCTCCCTATAAATCTAAATGCCGTATTGGAACAGAGAATGGAGGGAAAAGGAATATAAAAACCAAAACAGCTATCCTAAAGAAAGCAAATTAATATTTAAAAGCTCTCTTGATTTTCTAGATTGGAGTCATTTTGAAACTGACTTACTGAGCTTCGTCTTGGCCTGGCTACAAGAAAACCAGCAGAGGGAGCCTCATGAGGAAGAACTGAATGGTTTTCTAAACCTCTAGAAACTAAATTTTCTCTTTATAGTTAAAATGTGGTATAAAATTAAATTTGCCTCTTTGCAACATATATATGAACTGATATTTCACCATATAGATAGAGATAGAATTAGAGATATATGTTCTAAACATGTATGCATCAATCTAATATATGCAATCACTCATTCAGAAAATATTTGTTCATTGTCTGCTGAGCTCCAAATACTTTTAGTCACTGGGGATATATCAATGAATCAATGAACAGGACAGAAAATATAATACTGTACATATTAAAAATAATGCACTTGTATGTGTGTGTGTAAAACAAGCAAAAAATAAAAATATGATATAATTTCAGGTAGAGACAAGTGAAGAACAAAAATAACAGCAGGAATGACCTTTCTAAGGATTTTGACAAAGACCAGAATGAAGCGAAAGAGTGAGTCATCTGACTTTCAGAGGAAAGAGCATTCCCCAAACTATCAGTAGCAAGTGAAAAATTGATAGAGTAATGATTCATGCTTTTTGCTAAATATTTCTGCTTCTCCCTCCTTTGAGATTCACGGGAGTGCTTTCTATTTTCTGGCTCCATTGTGTTGTGGTGGGTCATATGGTTATTTCTGGCCAATGATTATGGACAGAAGCTATGTGTGTCACTTCTGGGCTGAAGTATTTACTTGTTGGCTTGACAATTTACAGTGTCTTTTTTCCCTTTAGAATAATAATTCCCTTTAGAACAATAATTTCTGTTCAAAATAGTGAGTCCCCTCTTACCTTTGGCTCCCTTAATAAAAATGATGGAACTGAGAAGGAAAATCTTTTCTGTTTTAAGTGTTTGAGATTTGAGGAGTTACATAGTACTACACATAACCCAACATATCCTGATGGAATGGGAGTGAGTTTAGAATGCTCAAAGAAAGGCAAAGAATCCTGCAGAGCTGAAGAAGAGGCCCCATAGGGATGGAGAGGAGATGAAATTAGAAAGATAAGTTTGGTCCAGATTATGCAACAAGGGAAGCCATCCTGTGTCAGGGTTCTCTAGAGGTACAGGACTAATAAGATAGATGTATATATGAAAGGGAGTTTATTAAGGAGTATTGACTCACACGATCAGAAGGTGAAGTCCCACAATAGGCCATCTGCAAGCTAAGGAGCCAGGAAGATAGTCCAAGTCTCAAAACCTCAAAAGTAGGGAAGCCAAATGCAGCCTTCAGTCTGTGGCTGAAGGCCTGAGAGCCCCTGGAAAACCACTGGTGTAAGTCCAGGAGTCCAAAAGCTAAAGAACTTGGAGTCCAATGTTCAAGGGCAGGAAGCATCCAGCACGGGAGAAACATGGAGGCAAGAAGACTCAGCCAGTCTAGTCCTTCCATGTTCCTCTGCCTGCTTTTTTTCTAGCTGCACTGGCAGCTGATTAGATTATGCCCACCCACATTGAGGGTGGGTCTGCTTTCCCAGTCCACTGACTCAAATGTTAATCTCCTTTGGCAACGTCCTCACAGCCACACCCAGGAACAATACGTTGCATCCTTCAATCCAATCAAGTTGACACTCATTATTAAATATCACACATGGATTTCAGGTTAGATTTTTTACTAAGAGTAGTAGAAATTATTGCAAGGGGATGATGAAACAAGCAACTTTAGCCTAATGTGTAAGGCTTTGAAACTTATGTTTTAAAACTTTTTTAAAAAATTAATATTTAATACACTGAAAGTTTAGTATGCTTTTC